>NC_000010.11:83324913-83476428 GCF_000001405.40 Homo sapiens | reverse complement strand
TGAAATATGTCAGAGAGCCAACATTTAAATTAATTCCAAGACTACACTGCAAGCTTGGCCAAATATTTACTGAGTATTCTATTGTTCATTTCGGGTTTGTGGTTAGGCCCCTGACCAATCCTCCTCGCTGAAGAACTGTATGGTGAGTGCCGCATGATAGCATTACACCAATACAGCACCTGCACCACAGAAATGGCTCAAATTAGAGCAATATAGGTAACCATTAACAAATTCCCACCAAAATTAAAGCCTAAAACTAAAGTCTATTCCTTACCCATAAAATTAAACAATTCAAAAGCTCCAGAAACCTCCTTTACAATTTTTTTTCTCAACCGTTTCTCAGCTAGAAGGATTACTGAGATGTCTGGTGGAAGCTAGTCCCCGTCAGCAGATTCGGTCTGGAAGTGTCATTCTTTGCATCTATGGTAGCTATTATAAAGCTTCCAACGTTAGAATAATCAAACCCTAAACTACTCATGTGTCCCAATTTCAAATTTTTAAAAATTAGTACTCCGAATAATAACATAAATGCATTGGGGTCATACCTACAAAATTTAAGAAGGTAAATAATTTCTTAGCCTATAAGCAGTTCATCCCTAGCAAGATGATGTTATTAGAACTTACTACATTTTGTAATCTAAACATGCACTACTATTTCCAGGCAAAACATTACCTGAGTGAAAGAATTTAGAGAGAAAGAATGAAGAACATTTTTCTTGATTTCCATATCATTAGGATGTCTAGTCTATTAGTACTTGTTTTTCAAAGTTGTAACATGTACTTAAACTCGATTGGAAGAAAACGCCCGTCCAAAGGCAGTTGTGATACTGTGTGGTCTTCATAAAGCCTTGAAGACCCCAGAGCTTTCTTCACTCTGTGGATATGCTCCTACCTCTTTTAAAATTTGCTTGGTAGTTAATGGCCCAGTGAGAAGCAAGGATGTCGATTTTATATTCACTCATAAAACCTTTTTTGTTTTTAAAAAGTTGACTAATCTTCATACTTGATTTGAATGTTGCTACTTTACTCTTAAGGTCATTTATCTGTTCTAGGATCCTCTTCAGGATACAATGCTACCTTTAATTGTCATGTATCCTTAGGGTCCATTGCACTGTGAAAGTTTCTCAGACTTGTTTTTGTCAACCTTGACAGGCCAGGTGTTTTGTAGAATGTGTCTTAATTTTGGTGTGTCTGATGTTCTTCCCGTGGTCAGACTGGGATTTTTGCTTTCGGGGAGGACCACAGCTGTGAAGTGTCATTCTGAATGCAACATATCAAAGGCAAATGCTATCAACTTGACTTATCACTGATCATGTTAAACTTGATCACCTGGCTAAGATAGTGTTTGCCAAGATTCACTTTTCTATTGTTACATTTTCATATACCTCCTTTGTACACTGTACCTTCAGGAATCAAGCCACACCATGCAGTCCATATTTAACAGATAGTTATACTCCATTTCTTTGAAGGGGGAATATTTGTATACATTATTTGGAATACTTCTGTATGGGAGAATTGTCTCTTCTTCCTATTTATTTAATCATTTATTTATATCAGTATGGAATCATGGACATTTATCTTATGCAGGTTATAATCCAAAACTATTTTATTTATCTTGCTGCTCAAATCTGTCCACCTTGTCCAATGGAAGATCTTCCAATTGGATCCTATGTCCCTTTGACATAATGTCATCGTTTCATTTTTGAGTACTTCCTTACTTTCTAGCACTACAAGATGTTTCAGATTTCTAATGTACAGTTTTTGCCTCAGCCCTATAATCTGCCATTTCTCTAAAGAACCATGATGCCTTGTTTTTTTTTTTTTTGTTTTTTTTTTTTTTTTTTTTTTTTTTTTTGAGACGGAGTCTCATTCTGTCGCTAGGCTGGAGTGCAGTGGCGAGATCTTGGCTCACTGCAACCTCCACCTCCTGGGTTCAAGCGATTCTCCTGCCTCAGCCTCCTGAGTAGCTGGGACTACAGGTACGTGCCACCACGCCCAGCTAATTTTTGTATTTTCAGTAGAGACAGGGTTTCACCATGTTGGCCAGGATGTTCTCCATCTCTTGACCTCGTGATCTGCCCACCTCGGCCTCCCAAAGTGGATTCCTTGTTTTAAAGAATGGTATTATAAACCATGGTTCAGGTGCTGAATGTGCTTTTACTTACCCCTTACAGTGGTATAATTGCTTCCACACCCTCTCAGCGAACAGACATAGGTAACATATGTAAGTACCTTAGCCAGTGTATACACAGACAGACAGATAAATAGATTCACAGATACATAGATGTAGATATACACTCTGATTATAGTGTGTTTCATTGTACCTTTCTCCCCTAGCCTATCTATAATCTCCCACTCCAACAGTGAGAAGCCTGGTTCTCACCATTCTTCATCCATCTACTTATTTGTTCAGTGCCAGGATTGATGGGCAGCAGTTTTGGAATTGTTAACCCCTGTGCCTATTAGAAACAATATTACCAATTAGAGTGCAGTACTTATACACAATTAATATTTTCCTTAGTTTTATGATTTCAAGTTATTTCCAAAATTACTTAGGTCAACGCCTCATTTTTTTTTCCACCACCTCCACTGAGGGGATGGCATACATTTGTATCACAGTTCCATTTTTGGGGACATGATCTACATTACATCCTGAAATTCCTCAAACCTCATGTTTGATATTTCCACTAAAAGTTTAAATACATCAAGTATCACTCTTTATGTTGTAAACTTCTGTAGATTTTTTTAAATAGATGCTGTTATGTATTTATCACCACAGTACTTGGTTTCCATAAGGTTAGGATCTCTAGTCAATTAGTACCTGTTTTTCAAAGTGCATAACATGTACTTAGATTCAATTGGAAAAAAATCCCATCCAAAGGGTAATTGTAATTCTCTGTGATCTTCATAAAGCCTTGAAGAATGCCAGGGTTCATTTCATGGCCCTAAAAAAATCTCCTGTGTTTAATCCAGTCAACCCTTCCCTCTCCCTAAACCTCTGACAACCACTATGTTTTGTATCTCCATAGTTTTATCTTTCCCAGAATGTCATATAGATGGAAGCATACAGCACGTTACCTTATACTGATTTCTTTGACTTTACATGCATTTAAGATTTATCCATGTCATTGAGTGGCTTGATGGCTCTCCATCACTGAAGAGTTTTCAAAGTAAGGATTATCATGGTATGGTAATCTATTCACCTCTTAAAGTACATCTTGGTTGTTTCCAAGTTTTGACAATTACGCAAAAAACGGCTACAACTATTCATATGTAGTTTTTTGTGAGTTTTCAAACCAGTTAGGTAAATATCCAGAAGCATAATTGATGGACTATATGTTAAGATTATGTTTTGTTTTGCCAGATTGTTTTCAAAGTAGCTGTACCATTTTGCACTTCCATATGCAATGCATGAGTGTTCTGTTGCTCCACATTCTCACCTACACTTGCTTTTGTCATATTTTTGGATTTTAGACATGCTAATAGGTTTGTAGTGGTTTTAAATTTGCATTTCCCTGATGACAAATAATGCTGAACACTTTTCATATGCTTATTTACTGTCTGTATATCTCATTTAGTGAAATGTATGTACAGATTTTTGCCCATTTTTGATTTTTTGTTGTTGTTGTTATTGGGTCTTAAATGTTCTATATATATTTTGGATGATAGTTCTTTATCAAGTATATGATTTGCAGATGTTTTTCTCCCAGTCTGTTAATTCTCTTAACAATATATTTCACAGAAATATTTAATTTTAATAATGTTCAACTCATTTCTTCTTTTATGAATTGACCTTTTGGTAAGGTAGCTAAGAACTCATAACCAAACTCAGTATCACACAGATTTTTATGTATGTTTTCTTTAAAAAGTTTTATCATATTTCATTTTACATTTAGGTCTATGATCTATTTTGAGTTAATGTTTTATAAGTTGTGAGACCAGGATAGAGGGCTTTTAAAAAATATGTACCTCTGATTTTTCCAGAACTACTTGTTGAAAATGTTGTCATATCTTATTTCAATTGCCATTTCACCTTTATACAAAACCATTTGACTATATTGTATAGGTCTATTTCTAGGCTCTCTGTTCTGTTCCATTGATATGTTTGTTTTTCACCCCAATATGCTATCTTGATTACTGCAGCTGCACAATAAGTATTAAATTTGAGTAATGTGAATCTTATAAATGTATTATTAGTTTTCAGAATTGTATTTGCAATTCTAGGTAATTTGTCTCTCCATATAAATTTTAGAATCAGTTTGTCAATATCTACAAAAGGTTTGCTGGAATTTTGACTGTGATTGCAGTAAATCTGTATATCAAGCTGTGAAGAATTGACATCTCAATAGTATTGATTATTCTAACCCATAAACATGTAATTATCTCTCCATTTATTTAGACCTTATTTGATTTCTTTCAACTGTATTTTGTTGCTTTTGCATATAGCTAGATCCTATGCATATTTTTTTAGAGTTATACCTAGGTACTTTATTTTGAGATGCTACTGTAAATGCTATTATATTTATAAATATATTTTTATTTATAAAATTTTATAATGTATATTTATAAATTTTACCTAAAATTTTATGTTTATAATTACAAATAAGTATTTTATTAAATATTTATAACTACATTTTATAAAATTTATAAAATATTGCATTTTATATTTATAGCATTTATATCTAGCTGTTCATTGCTGCTATATAGAAAAGCATTCTTTTTTGTATACTGACTTTGTATGTTGTGACTTTGCATAAGTCACTTATTAGTTCTAGGAATTTTCTTTGGGATTATCTACAAAGAAAGGCATGTCATCTGTAAATAAAGACAGATTATTTTCCTTTCCTGTCTGATTGCCATTGCTGGGGTTTCCAGTATATCGTTGAATAAAAGTGGTAAGGACATCTTTGCCCTATTCGAATCTTAGGGAGAGAGTGTTGAGTCTCTCTCTATTAAGTAGTATGTTAGTTGTAGTCTTTTTTTTCATATATACCCTTTATTCAGTTAAACAAGGATTTGTATTTTTAGTTTATTTCAGAGTTTTAAAAAATTATGAATGTATGTTGAACATGGTTGGATGCTTTTTCTTCATTTATTAATGGGATAATACGTTTTTTATAATTTAATCTGTTAATATGATGAATTGCGTTGACTTATTTATAAAGGTGGGATCAAACTTACATTCCTAGAATGAAAAACACTTGGTCATGGTGTATTATCCTGTGTAATACACTGCTGGACTCAGTTTTGTAAAGGATTTTTGCATCAATGTCAAGGAATAATACTCATCCGTGGTTTCCTTTTCTAGTGAAATGTTTTTTTTTTTAAATTTGTTTTTAGGGTAATGTTGCCCTCATAAAATGAGTTAGAATATGTTTTCTCCTCTTCAATTTTTTGGAAGATATTGTGTACAATTGGCTTTATAACTTTCTCAGATGTACAATATAATTCATTATTGAAATCATCCGACCTCAGTATTTTTTGAGGAGTTTTTAGCTACCAATATAATTTTTAATTAGACATAGTGGCATTCAGAAAATACATTTCTTCTTGAATAGGTTTGGTAACTTGTATCTTTCAAGAAATTTATCCATATGTTATCAAATATATGGGACTAGGGCTATTTGTTGTATTCCCTTATCCTTTTAATGGTCAGTAGTGATGATTCCTCTTTCATTAGCGATATTGGTAATTTGTGTCTTCTCTCTTTTTTCACGGTTAGGCTGGCTAGAGACTTATAATTTCATTAATCTCTTCAAGAAATCAGCCTTTAGTTTCATTTATTTTCTCTATTACCTTCCTGTGTTCAATTTATTAATTTCTGCTCAAATTTTTATTATTTCTTTCTGCTTACTTTAGTTTGCTTTGTTCCCATGGTTTCAAAGGTGGAAGCTCAGGTTATTGATTTTAGTTATTTCCTCTTTTCTAACATATGCATTTAATACTATAACATCTATCTGAGCACTGCTTTAGCTGCATCCCACAAAATTTGATAAATTGTATTGTCATTTTCATTTATTTAAATATATGTTAAAATTTCTGCTGAGACACCTTCTTTTACCTTAGATTTAGAATTGTGTCATTTAATTTGCAATATTTAAAAATTGTCCAGCCCTCTCTCTGTTGTTGATTTCTAGTTTAATGTCACTGTAGACTAAGAGCATATGTGAATAATTTATATTCCTTTAAATTAGCCACAGTGTGTTTTATGGCCTAGAATGCTTGAGAAGAATGTAGATGCTATTTTTGTTGGGTGGTGTATTGCATAAATGTCAGTTTTATCAAGTTGATTTATAGAGTTGTTCAGGTCATCTATATCCTTACTGATTTTCTGCCTGCTTTATCTATGATTTACTGAGATATAGGTGTTGATGTCTCTAACTAAAGTAATGGATTTGTCTGTTTTTAAAAACCAGTTCTGTCATTTTTGTCTGTTGTAATTTGATACTCTGTTGTTCATGCATAAAGGTTTTGGATTGTTATATCTTCTACAATGGACTCTTTTATCATTGCGTAATATTTTCTCATTATCACTGGTTGTTTTACATGTTCTGCAGTCTGCTGTGTCTGAAATTCATATAGCTACTGAGTTTTTGTTATTAGTATTAGCATAATATATTTCTCTATTTCTTTAATTTTAAACTATTGGAGTCTTAATACTTAAAGTGGGTTTCTTATAGAAAACATATAGTTCGATTTTTTTATACACTCTGACAGTCTCCTTCTTTCCATTGGTGAATTTGGACCATTCACATTTAAGGTGCTTAATTGTATATTTGGATTTATAGCTACCATATTCGTAGCCATTTGCTGCATTTTTTTTCTTTATTTCCCCTCTTTTTCTTTCTTTTCTGATGTGGAGCATTTTATGTAATCTCATTTTAGGCACTCCTTCAGCCTATCAATTGTACTTCTTTAAAACTATTTTTAGTAATGGCCTATATATTTTACTGTATATTTTTAATTAATTTGGGTCTGCCTTCAAATAACAACATACTGCTTTACCTGTTGTGCAAGTACTTTGTAACAAAGTATTCTTAACTCCTCCTTCTCATATTTTGTGGCATTGCTTTCATTAATTTCCATTACCTATGTTACTTTATATACTTTTAATACGATACAATACATTGTTACTATTATAGATATATTTTACATGAATAAGAAATGAAAAATTAAAGAAACATTATTACTTTTATTTATTCCTTTCCTGACACTATTCTTTTTTTTTTTTTAATGTAGATACAGGTTTCTGGCTTGTATAATTTTCCTTCTGCCTGAAAAATTTAACATTTCTTTTTCTAAAATTTTAACAAATTATTTTAAAAAATTTTGTGGGTACATAATACATGGGTAGGTATATTTATGGGATACATGAGATATTTTAATAAGGCATGCAATGTGAAATAAGCACATTATCCATAATGGGGTATCCATCCCTTAAGCATTTATCCTTTAAACTACAAACAATCCCATTGTACTGTTTAAGTTATTTTAAAATACACGATTAAGTTATTATTGACTATACTCACCCTATTTTGCTATCAAGTAGTAGGTCTTATTCATTCTTTCTATTTTATTTATTTATTTATTTTTGTACCCATGAGCCATCCCCGTCTCCCCGTCAACAACCCCCATTACCCTTCCCAGCCTCTGGTATCCATTTTTCTATTATTATGTCCCTGAGTTTATTTTGATTTTTATATATCCCACAAATAAATGAAAACATGTGATGTTTGCCTTTCTGTGACTGGTTTATTTCACTTAACATAATGATCTCTAGTTCTGTCTACGTTGTTGCAAATGACTGGATCTCATTCTTTTTCATGGCTGAATAATAACTCCATTGTGTATATGTACCACATTTTCTTTATCAATTAATCTGTTGATGAAATCTTAGGTTGCTTCCAAATCTTAGCTATTGTAAACAATGCTGCAACAAACATAGGAGTGAGGCTCTCTCTTTGATACACTTATTGCCTTTCTTTGGGATATATACCCAACAGTGGGCTTGCTGGATCATATACTATCTCTATTTTTAGTTTTATGGGAAATCTCTGAACTGTTCTCCATAGTGGTTGCACTAATTTACATTCCCACCAATAGTGTATAAGGGTTCCCTTTTCTCCACACTCTTGCTAGCATTTGTTATGGTCCACACTCTTGCTAGCATTTGTTATGGATATAAGCCATTTTAACTAGGGTGAGATGATATCTCATTACAGATTTAATTTGCATTTCTTTGATAATCAATGATGTTGAGCATCTTTTAATATGCATGTTTGCCATTTGTATGTCTTTGAGAAAATTCTGTTCAAATATTTGCCCATTTTTGGAACAGATTGTGAGATTTTTTTTCCCTATAGTGTTGTTGGAGCTCTTTATATATTCTGTTATTAATCCTTTGTCAGATGGGTAGTTTGCAAATATTTTCACCTATTCTGTTGTTTGTCTCTTCACTTTGTTGATTGTATCCTTTTCTATGGAGCCGCTTTTTAACTTGATATTATCCCATTTGTCTGTGTTTGCTTTAGTTGCCTGTGCTTGTGGGATATTGTTCAAGAAGTCTTTGCCCAGACCAATGTCCTGAAGAGTAGCCCCAATGTTTTCTTGTAGTAGCTTCATAGTTTGAGGTCTTAGATTTAAGTCTTTAATCCATTTTGATTGATATTTGTATATGGCCAGAGATAGGAGTTCAGTTTCTTTCTTCTGCATATGGTTATCCAGTTTTCCCAGCACCAGTAATGCAAGAGATTGTCTTTTCCCCAGTGTATATTCTTGGCACCTTTGTCAAAAACGAGTTTACTATAGGTCTGTGGATTTGTTTCTTTCTGGGTTCTCTATTCTGTTCCATTGGTTTATGTGTCTGTTTTTATGCTAGTGTCATGCTGTTTTGGTTATCATACTTCTTTAGTATAATTTGAAGTCAGGTAATGTGATTCTTCTTGTTTTGTTCTTTTTGCTTAGGATAGCTTTAGCTATTCTGGATCTTTTGTGGTTTCATATAAATTTTAGAATTTTTTTTCTATTTCTGTAAAGAATGTTTTTACTATTTTGATAGAGATTTCATTGAATCTGTAGATTGATTTGGGTAGTATGGACATTTTAACATTATTGAATCTTCCAATCTATGAACATGGAATATCTTTCCATTTTTTGGTGTCTTTTTAAATTATTTTCATAGTGTTCTCTGATTTTCATTGTAGAAATCTTTTATTTCTTTTGTTAAATTACTCCTAGGTATTTTATTTTATGTGTGGCTGTTGTAAGTGGGATTACTTTTTAAATTTATTTTTCACATTGTTCACTATTGACATATTGACATGTTTCTAATTTTTGATGTTGATTTTGTATGCTGTAACTTTACTGAATTTGTTTATCAGCTCAACAGTTTTCTTGTGGAGTCTTTAGGTTTTTCCAAGATAGGATGATAACATTGGCAAACAAGAATAATTTGGCTTCTTCCTTTCCAGTTTGGATGCCCTTTATATCTTTCTCTTATCTTATTGCTCTAGCTAGGACTTCCAATACTATGTTGAATAACACTAGTGACAAAGGGCATTTTTGTTGCGTTTTAGACATTAGGGGAATGGCTTTCAGCTTTTCCCCATTCAATATGATACTAGCTATGGGTCTGTAATATATGGCTTTTATTATGTTGAGGTATGTTCCTTCTACACCCATTTTTTGTGAGATGATTTTATAATTAAGCAATGTTGAATTTTATCAAATGCTTTCTCAGCATCAATGGAAATGATCATATGGTTTTTATCCCTCATTTTGTTGATATAATGTATCATGTTGATAGATTTGCATCTATTGAACTATCCTTATATCCCAGGGATAAATCTCACTTGGTCATGATGGATGATATATTTCTAATGTATTGTTGAACTCTGTTTCCTAGTATTTTGTTGAAGATTTTTGCATCAATATTCATCGTGATATTGGCCTGTAGTTTTCTTTTTTTGACATGTCTTTAATTTTAATATCAGGGTAATACTGGTCTCGTAGAATGAGTTTGAATGTATACCCTCTTCCTCTATTTTTCAGAACAATTTGAGTAGTCTTTCAACATTTCTTGCAAGGAAGCTCTACTGGCAATAAATTTCTCAGTTTTTGTTTCTTGAGACAATTTTTATTTTTCCTTCACAGTTTAGGGATACTTTTGTTGGATATAGAATTCTAGATTGGCAGAGTTTGTTTATTTTCTTTCAATGGTTCAAACATTTCACTCCACTCTCTTTTTGCTTGACTCTATTGTAATTCATTATAATTATATTTTCTTTTAAATTCTTTGCATAATTCCTTGCTCCATTGTAGCTGAAGATACCCCCTTTCCTATTTCTTTTAATATTTTATTTATTTGTATTATCCTGTTCTTGATCTCTAGCATGTACTTACAATTTTTCTTATAGTTCCCATCTCTCTGCTGACATTATTCATCTGGTCTTGCATGTGATCTACTTTTTCACATTAATCATGGCTCCTTTAAATCCTCTTCTGATAATTCCTCCATCTGTATGATAACTGTGTACAGCTTTGATTACTGCTTTTACTCTTTAGACTGTGTTTTTTCTTAACTTTTGTTGTGTTTCATAATGTTTTTATTGAAAGTTGGACATGTCTTATGGGGTAATAGGAATTGACGTATAAGACCTTTAGTGTAAGGATTTATGTTAATTTGACTAGAAATTTGGCATGTGTTTAATTTTTTTTTTGTTTATGTTTTGTTTTGTTAACTTTTAGCACAGGATTTTTAAATTCCCAATGATGGGTTTGTTTATTTCATCTCCTCTTGGCTTTGGGGGCGTGCCTTTGTACTTCTCCTCAAGGACAGTCTGTGTCTTTCAGCTCTTCCACTCTTTCACCCATAATTCTCCATTGTTTTTCCTGTGGGCTTATCAGCATGGTGGTAGCATATGAGAGAGAAGAGAAATGATTACAAATCTCTCTCACTCTCTCTCTCTCTACATATATATACACACACATACATACACACATATACACATGTATATAATGTATGTATGCATTGACTTATATATATACAATATAATGTGTGTATATACATATATATATACAATATAATGTGTGTATATACATATATAATAATGTGTGTGTGTGTGTGTGTGTGTGTGTATACATTTTTTATGAACTATACTCCTGGTGTTCTATAACCTTCTGGACCTAGAAAGGGGAGAAGCCATGTTGCCCAAGTCCAGAGTTTGGTATAAGAGTTTGAAAGGTGTTGTCTGATTTCAGAAGACTTTTCCTGTGAATGCCGGGTGGCATCTCGTATTATCCCTGACTGGTTAGCATAAAAACAACACTCTTCCCCTAAGAAGATGCAGAGTCCTCCTTTCACAGCACTGAGGAGATCTATGCCTCGGTGGTTTTGGAGAGTCACTGCTGCTAAAGAGTCTATTTGGGATTGTAGAGTAAGGATGGATTTCATTATTTCTTGCAAACCACCTAAGAAATCCTTTGAGAGTGTGTGGTAGTAGGATAATGAAGTAGATAAACTGGCTATTCCAGTTCCTGTAGCAGTAGCCATTCTTAACCCTATAAGTAGGGGGTATTAGTTGTATGGCTCTGTGCTGAGGGACTTGAGCTTTGAGGGGTACTGATAGGGTCTGATTTCCACAAGATTAGAAGTTAGGATAATATACGTTTACACCGTTAACTTTTAGCAAACTTTACTTTTGTTGAAAACCTTGTAAGCCCTCTTTTTCAGGGCTTGTGGGTCAAATTTGTCCCAATGGCTTAGGATGCATTTCAAGGATGAGCCTGTCGAGGCCTGAGTGTTTCCCATCTGAAAGACAAAACCACCCACAGTTTTGGTTTGTTTGTTTCTCCCCCTGCCCAAGAACCCAAAACAGTCCCTGGACCCTGCTGATCAGAATAGTTGCACTCACCAATGCAGCAGCAGTAACACCTCTTGCCCAAGAACCTGCAATGGTCCCTGGACCCTGCTGATTGGAATAGTTGTGCTCACCAATGCAGCAGCAGAAACACTAGTTTTCCTCCTAGACCACAAGGAGGACAGAGGAATGTAGGATTTAGTGGCCCTTCCTGATGCGTTATTGAAAACCTGCCCCCTGGCCTGTCCTCCTAGACCACAAAGAGGACCGAGAAAAATCAGATTTAGTGGCCTTTACTGATGCATTCTCAAAAACCTGCTAGAGTCCTAAGCATTCTCCTGTTAGTATTGGGATTTTACCCGTGTCCTATAAAGATGTTATGCCCCAAAAATGAAGTGGAGGGCCATGCCCTGAGGGAGGGAAGGGATCTCCAGAGTTGGAAGGGTGATGCCTTTTTCCTCACTTATATGAATAGGAAGGATACAATTTCTGAGGCTCCCCATATCCTAGCATCAGGAATAGTTTTTGGTAGGCCTGCTTGTCTGAGGAGGGATCCTAAAATTCCAGATAGTCCCCCCTATGATGGGGCTTTGGGCAAAAATTATGTCTTTCTGATTGGTGAGCCCAGGTGTCTAAAGAAAGTAACAGAGTCCTGAAGTTTATACTAGAAATCATTCTTATAGGAGAAACTAGAAAAGCACCAGAGACAGGGAGTGGTTTTTAGAAGTGAGACTAGCCTCAGAGAAGAGAAGCGAGAGGAAGTTTATCAGACAGGCATTAGGACCCAGGAGGCAAGGGTCAGGATAGATAGGATAGATGGGCGAGTCTCACTTGGGTGACATGACTTTGAGGGTTCTGCTCATGGCCGCAGGGTCAACCAACTTATTGTCAGGATCCCGGAGCTGAATGGCTTTCCTGTCAACCCTCGGCTCAGCCTAGAAGTATAGGAAAAGTGGAAGCTGGTTCCAGGCAAACCAATGCTCCCAACTCCAAAGATTTGGGGGGTTGTTAGAGAGCCCTTTCCCAGAAAGCCTGACACCTGTGTCTTTAGTCTGGCGACTGTGCTAGGTGCTTTTAACTGGCCCAGTATTTAGCCCCCAAATTCTAAGGAAAAATAGGGCAGAATAGCAAGTGAAAGAAAGGGGTCTGATGGTACTCACCACTTGGTGATTGTCCCTTCGTGGTTGCAAAAATGTGTCCGGAATTGGTTTCTTCTGGTGGGTTCTTGGTCTTGCTGACTTCGAGAATGAAGCTGCACACCCTCGCAGTGAGTGTTACAGTTCTTAAAAATGGTGAGACCAGAGTTTGTTCCTTCAGATGTGTCCAGAGTTTCTTTCCTCTGGTGGGTTCATGGTCTAGCTTGACTTCAGGAGTGAAACCACAGACCTTTGCAGGGAGTGTTACAGCTCTTAAAGGTGGTGCATCCAGAGTTGTTTGTTTCTCCTGGTGGGTTCGTGGTCTCACTAACTTCAGGAGTGAAGCCGCAGACCCTCACGGTGAGTGTTACAGCTCATAAAGGTAGTGTGGACCCAAAGAGTGAGCAGCAGCAAGATTTATTGCAAAGAGCAAAAGAACAAAACTTCCACAGCATGGAAGGGGACCCGAGTGGGTTGATGCTGCTGGCTCAGGTGGCCATCTTTTATTCCCTTATTTGGCCCTGCCCACATCCTGCTGATTGGTCCATTTTACAGAGTGCTGATTGGTCCATTTTACATAGTGCTGTTTGGTCCGTTTTTACAGAGTGCTGATTGATGTGTTTACAAACCTTTAGCTAGACACAGAGTGCTGATTGGTGTGTTTTTACAGAGTGCTGATTGGTGCATTTACAAACCTTTAGCTAGACACAGAGCACTGATTGGTGTGTTTTTACAGAGTGCTGATTGGTGCGTTTACAAACCTTTAGCTAGACACAGAGTGCTGATTGGTGTGTTTAGAATCCTTTAGCTAGACAGAAAAGTTCTCCAAGTCCCCACCTGACCCAGAAGCCCAGCCAGCCTCACCTCTCAGAGGGTCTAACATCTTTAAGAATACAGCAGAGAGGATGTTTTTCAGGCTTGTCAAACCCTTCCTTCCTCAAGGTGGTTCTACAAGGAACAATAAATCCCTATGGTGATTTTGAGAGATATGGAATGCATGCTGAATGCACAAAATCAAAATGTCTTTGCCAGAAAACTCTATATCCTCAGTTTCTCTTGGTATGTTGCTCTCAGTCATTATCCCATAGTAACATTTTTACAACAGGTAAAAGCAATTAAGAAATAATGATTCAGGCAGTGAAGAAGTGGATGAGGATGGGAAGTGCAAAAATGTTGACCTTGAATCTAGAAGGTTTATCCTGTTCCAACTAGGCTACCAGTGGATCTTGTAAAGCTCATTCATTAATACTCTTTAACATTTATTCATTACCCCGAACACTTTGCATATCATTCTTTATCTCCTAAGCTCTGTTACCATTTTCTCTCTCTCCCATTCATCTTCAGGCAGTTTATTACATAAACTGGGAGACTATCAGCATCCATTTTTCTGCCTCATACTTTTTTCATCCCTGATAAAATAAATACAATTCCTTTATCAGTACTCAAGGCATTATGACTTTTCCTGTTTTTCCTCAATGACTGCCTATAAGAAGATATAGACCTACATTGAACTCTGGGCCTACTGATTATGCAGTTATAAAGAAAATTACTTAACATGTTTCTGGACTTCAGGTTTATTTAATCACACAAGTGTTTTTCTCCCACTTCATGAAAGGAGAAAGTGCTAGAGGGTAGTGTTACTTCTATGAATGGTGTGCTAAAACCTGAAGAGCTGCCCCTAGAGTTGATGTGGTTGAATGAGTCTGGAAGGCTACTCCCTCTCTAGGGGAGATCTGAGGGTGGATAATTTTTACTGATAAGAGAACTGGAGACTAGATGCTGTGGGCAAATCAATGACAAGGCATATGAACGTGAGAATAGACAGAATTAGACTGAGAGGTATGACTGAGAGGTATGACAAGCTGAAGAGTCAGGAGTCTGATCAAACATTAATTCAGGCTTCTCAGAGATCTGTCCTTACATACAGAAGGCTCATGCCTTCTTAGACAGTTTATATCAGGGTAGGAAGCACGTGGTTACTATATTGGAACATCAGTATGGTATCCCAATAATGTAATACTTTTTAGAAATTCTGCATGTCAGCCTGGAGAGTAATGTAGTCTAGTGGCATTCATCCATTATATAGACATTTAATTCTTTGAGTAGATTGTAAAATTCTAAAAATTATCTGGGAAGCAATGATATTTTCCCCCAAAACATAATAGTTCACTTCTTACCAACTGTAGCATCTATGAAAAAATACATACAAGGAAATAAATTAACTTAGCCCTAATGAATGTTTGTGCATGTGTGCATGTATATGTGTGTGCATACAAGCGTGCACAGGAGTGGTAGACAATTTATATTTCCTTTTCTGAATCATTTTCCCATCTCATAGGTAAATTAATTTGGCCCACACAATTAGTTAAACTATCTTTGATGGCATGTTTTATTAAATTGTCACAAATATTATGTCATAATTAAAATGATAATGTCACAAAGTGAGAAACTCACAAAATGAGCATTCCATTAGTGGTCAAAGGATAGTTTTGATAGAATTCACTCATTTGATAGACTGAGAGTGACATAGAAACTGAATCCTTCCACAAAAATAGTGGCTGAATAGGCATCAAGAGAACAATATCAAGGTGCTTGTGCTTAGGAAAGGTACTAAGTCTAAGGCTATAAAGCCTAGTGCACAAGAAGAGATGGTTATATCAGGTCCCACACAGTTCATGAAAACAATAGTCATTAAGGTGCCAAAATGAATAAATGAGTTTTGCAACAGATGGGAGATTAAATTGATGGAAACCCCAAGGCAAGGACTCTATGTAAATCTAAGAAATTATCAAGTAATGCAAGTAGGCACTAGAGACTCAAGAACATACCCATATGTATTTTTTGTTATTTTTAAAGAGACAGGCTCTTACTATGTAGTCTAGGCTAGAGTACAGTGATGTGATCATAGCTCACTGTAACCTCAAATTCCTGGGCTCAAGCAATCCTCCTCCCTCAGCTTCCTGAGTAACTATAGGCACACACCACCATATCCAGCTAATATATTTTTTATTTTTATTTTTATTTATTTATTTATTTTGAGACAGAGTCTCACCTGTCACCCAGGCTGGAGTGCAGTGGTGCAATCTCTGCTCACTGCAACCTCCGCTTCCCAGGGTCAAGTGATTCTCGTGCCTCAGCTTCCCAAGTAGCTGGGATTACAGGTGTAAGCCACCAATCCTGGCTATTTTTTTTTTTGTATTATTTTTTTTAGCAGAAACAGGGTTTCACCCTGTTGGCCGGGTTGGTCTTGAACTCCTGATCTCAGGTGATCCCCCTGCCTTGGCCTCCCAAAGTTCTGGGATTACAGGCACGAGCCACCACACCTGGCCTATATTTAATTTTTTAATTTTTTGTAGAGACAAGATTTCATTATGTTGCCCAGGCTAGACTTGAACTCCTGGTCTCAAGCAACCAGCCTGCCTTGGCCTCCCAAACTGTTGGGATGAGGCATGAGCCACTGAGCTTGGCCCAGCTATACTCTCTTAATGTGAAGTCGAAATGTATAAAACTGTTCTAGTTAAATCAAATGACTATGGTATTAGGAAGGTTTATGAAAAGCATATTCAATTAAAAAAAAAAGGCTGAAGCTTACTCAAAATGAAGTGCTTACTCTAGTCTGGAGTCATGAGAGGGTAGGTTAAGCTCTATTAATAGAGAATCTCCCAAATCTCAGTGACTTAGAAATGCTTATTTCCAGATCATGATGTAGTTGATCAAAAGTAGGCTGGGAGCCCTCATCTGTATTATCAATGTCCTCTTTTTGGAACCCAGACTAACAGAGCAGTCACTTTTTCAAACATTTTTAGTGGCAAGGGGAAGGGAAAAAAATGCATGGCATAGGCACTGGCTTTTAAAACATCTCCCCAGAAGTGAAATATGTCATTTCTCCTCAAATTTTATTAATCAAAGCGTATCATATGTCAGGCCTGAATTTAACAGAGTGGAGGAAGTGTAATTAACATCCAGGAAGTAAAACTGCAGAAGTGAAAACTTAAGAGTCTGCTGCAACTGGTCACAGTGTACCTTTTTTCTGAAACGAGAAATGTTCCCTTGTCCCCCTTGTAGGGCGGGCGATGGGGGTGTGGCTCGCTTCTTCGGTGCCCTGCTGCTCAAAACTCCTAGCGGGAGTATGCAGACAAACAGGCAGGTCTTGGGGAGCCTGGGTTCCGACCCCACAGCAGCATCTAGGGGTGTATGTTTACAGCTCCCCAGTGGGCATGTGTCTTCATGTGCCCTTTGAGTTTAGCAATCCATAGGCAGCTTGTCTTATGGCAAGGACAGAGGGCTTTCTGTATCCCAAGGTTTCTTGCCTTGGTGTACCGGAAGAATCGGATCACACATGGGCTTGGAATATGAGTGCAAGGTTTCATTGAGTAAAAGTAGCTCTCAGCAGATGGGGGAGCCAGAAGGGAGATGGAGTGGGAAGGTGGTTTTCCCCAGGAGTCGGGCTGCTCAGCATGCAGGCTCTCCTTCAACTGCCCCTGTCAAACTCCATGTCATTCCACTGGTTGATGGCCCACCGGTTTGCCAGTGTCTGTCGGTGTGCTCTTACGCTGGTGTGTTCCTCTCGACGTTCAGCCACTTGTGTGCGTGCCCACTAGGGTCTCGGGGTTTTTATAGGCACAGGATGGGCCGTGACAGGCCAGGATGGTCTTGGGAAATGCAACACTTAAGCGCGAAAACAGAAAAGCCTGTCCTCACCTAGGTCCGTGGGCACCGGCCCTGGGGTGGAGCCCTCAGCAGGGACCATGCCCTCCTCTACCCAGCACTTCCTTGCCCACCTCTTGCATCATGAGTCATAGAATGTAGGAACTAGTCAGGGCTGGACTCTTCAAATGCTTTCTAAGGTAGGCTTTAGCCTAGAAAACAAGACAAACTTCTTTTCTAAGTCAAATATCTTAGCCAGATGTGTGTGTTGGTGTGTGTTGGAGTGTGTTTGTGGGTGTGGACAGGAATGAATATTGGGAATAGGATATAAAGAATTAAATAGATCAAGTGGATGAGGAAGCATAAAGTGGGGCTAAACTAAATTAAAGAGGATGAATTCCAACTTGACTATTTGGGACCTAGAGTTCATTCTCCTGAGACAAAGGAAAAGAAAAGGAAACTGACACTATACTGGGGTTCTTCTATGTTGAAAGAACATTATACAAAATGTTTCATTTAATTTTACCCCAACAACCCTCCACGACAAATAAAGGTTCAAAATGAACACCCCAAATCTGAAGATGGAGAAATTTGAATCTCACAGAAGACTACCAAGTTGGAGGTTTAGAATTTTAACCTCATCTTTAGCTCAGTTTTCTAACCCAGGAATAGAATGACTCCCAACTGCAATGATCCAAGCAGCTCACAATTTCCACACAATGCTGGATGAATATAAAGCTACAGCAGACAAGAATTCCTGATTCAATGGAAAGTTCAGTCTTGAAAAAAACCTAAAAACTAAAATTCCTAAACTCAATCAATTAACCAAACATCACATTTTAGGTAGGTTCTCAAGGCCCAGATTGTAGCACACTGATTTTTGTCTAGGTTTTATTTCAGCCACAAAGTGACCAGACACAGGAAAGGTCCTTATTTAAACAGCAGTTTTATAGAGATACTATTTTTTTCTTAAATGATGAGCATCATGGGGGATTTTTCTTCCTTGGAAGAGATGTTTAAAGGTACCAGATAGGCTGCCTTGCAGCTGGCCATCTGTGTAAATTCATCAGGACGACTGAGTTCAGCCGTAATCTAGGTACACAGATGAGAGGTGTTGCGGGCTTTCCATCTACGTGCATTTGTTATTCCAGAGGAGCAGCTCGAGTCCTGGACCTTGTTAGAGAAAGAGGCAAGCTGAAAAAAGACCTTGGATGTGAATCATGGCATTCCCCCTCAGCTTATTAAAGCCATGTCTATTCCTGTTTGGCCTCCAATGATGTTTTGTCACTATCAGTCAGGGAGACTTTTGAGAGGAAAATGAACAGGCAGATATTTTGCCATTTATTGCTCCGTATGGACACGGGCCATTTGTCAGAGAGCCAACGAACAGCCACCTCAAACAATGCTCTCTTTTAAAAGATCAAACGGAATTATTGAAATGGACAATTCTAGCAGTGGAAGAAAAATATATTTTGGTTTCGGGTAGACTTCACCTGAAACACCATAATAGAACTTGGAAACAAATAAGTTTTAAACAGAATTCAGAATTACTGACACTTATTATTTTTTAATAAAGTTAATTCATACTTCTTTAACGTTAGTGTGCCATCCATTACAATCAATAATTTATCGCTTAGATGCTTTTCATGTAATCATTTTGCTTTAATTTATATAATAGTTGGAAATATACTATACATACTGTATTCTTATATTCATAGTTAACCCACTAGATTGTGAGGCTTAACTATGGTCCTTAAAAAAATTTTAGAAAAGAAGTCTGCTGACAAATAAAAAATTTACCAATATAAAAATAAAATTAAGCCAGGCATGGTGGCTCATGACTGTAATCTCAGCACTTTGGGAAGCCAAGGCAGGAGGATTGCTTGAAATCAAGAGTTTGAGACCAGCCTGAGCAAAAGAACAAGACCTTGTTACTACAAAAAATAAAAGTTAAAATAAAAAGATATTCAATTTGAATACTCAGAAAACCTTTTCTCAAATTTCTTGTCCTTGACTATATCAATTATGTTGCTCTCCACAGTTACTTCTGCTCAGGAAAACACTTCCTTAGGATTAGTAATTCTATAGGCCCAATCTACTGAGTATGTAAAAAGTTTAAATTTTCTGTTAAGTGTTAAAGAGAGGAGCATGAATTGTCTTAAGTGATCATGAAGCTAAGCAGCAAACACATTTAACTGGATAGTGAAAGCCAAGTTACAAACAACACTTTTTCCAGTTTCTTGGGATTAGCAAAGAAAGGAAGTATATACCATGGCTTCCATACCTTGAATTCTTAATTTTAATTAATTTCTCAGACAATTGGAATAAATCAAATTATAGGAAAATTATCTTTATTTTATGTATCTATTTCTGTAATTTTAGATTTTTTTCAGCAAGTATTCATTGCTTTTAAATATACTTTAAAACGTGTAGTTTATAACATTTTTGAAAAGGTAAACGCCTGTGAATATATATAGCTAACTAGCTTTGAGTCTCCCGTGTGTGTTTGGTCAGAGAATTAGGTAATCCCCTCATTGTCCCTTTCTCTTATGGGATTCCTCTACTTTCTTTAGAGGCCATGGGTAGGCAGGTCCAAAAGATAGTGGTTTTTCCAATGGTACCCTCTTCGTCTCCCACCCCACAGTGAATGCTCTTGGCTCAAACCTAAAAGCCAATGACAACATGAAATCAATTTGTAAACCTCCTCTCCTCTCAGTGTGTGCACCCCACAAAGGTCTGTCTAATTCTGTTCACTCTGCAGCACCTTCAGGTACCTGTTGTTTGTATTACATTCAGAAATGTGTGACTCCTACACAATTTCCTGTGTAGGAGTAAGACTGGTAAGATGTCACCCCAACATTAGAGAAGAAAATTAGATTTGAATTTAAAAATGCTTATTCAGTATGTGACTTTGAGCACTACAAACAGGAAGTTTATGTTGAGTTTGAATTTTAGTACTTTATGAGGAACTTAACCTCACTATTACATGGATGCATATGTGTGTGTGTGTGTGTGTGTGTGTGTGTGTGTGTATTTTATTTATTTATTTTTTTGAGATGGAGTCTCCCTCTGTCACCCTGGCTGGAGTGCAGTGGCACCATCATGGCTCATTGCAACCTCCACCACCTGGGTTCAGGCAATTCTCATGCCTCAACTTCCCAAATAGCTGTGATTACATGTACGCCACCATGCCCAGCTAATTTTTTTTGTATTTTTAGTAGAGGTGGGGTTTTGCCATGTTGGCCAGGCTGGCCTTGAACTCCTGACCTTAAGCGATCCACCAGTCTCAGCCTCCCCAAGTGCTGGGATTACAGGTGTGAGCCACAGTTCCTGGCCATACATATATTTTCTATATCACTTTGATCTAATGATAATACCAGTAATGTTATATTTGCATATTTTTTATTTATTCTACTAGATTCTGCTAATTATGTCTTTTATTTTAACTTAGCTTATTTATCTTTCTTTGTTTTTTTTTCTTTTTTTGGAGACCGAGTCTCGCTCTGTCACCCAGGCTGGAGTGCAGTGGCATGATCTCAGCTCACTGCAACCTCCGCCTCCTGGGTTCACGCCATTCTCCTGCCTCAGCCTCCCGAGTAGCTGGGATTACAGGCGCCCGCCACCACGCCTGGTTAATTTTTTGTATTTTTAGTAGAGATGGGGTTTCACTGTGTTAGCCAGGATGGTCTTGATCTCCTGACCTCGTGATTCTCCCGCCTCGGCCTCCCAAAGTGCTGGGATTACAGGTGTGAGCCACCGTGCCCGGCCTATCATTTCTTTTCTAGTTGCTGTGGTTCCTTCCAAAGTGTCCCATATAATTGGTAGATTACATTGCAACCCTTCTTAACTTGTTTTCTCCTTCTGTAAAGTTTTGTTCTTTTCCTTTACATTATGGAAGAACATCTCAAGAATGTCTTTCACATGATGTATTCAAGTTTCCATTGTGCCATTTAAATCACTTACTACCCTCAATATAGGTTTTACTCCTTTTAAACAATTTTGTTTCTTGCCATTTCTCAGTATTCACTTATCTTTCATTATATTTCAAGAATTTAAACCTTTTCATACAGTGTTTTAAGATATTGTTAAAATACTGAACCATTTTCTAAATTGTATTTTGAGTTCCTGAAGCAGAAAATTTACAGTGGTATTATTTGAATCTTGAGGATAAGTTAAATATATTTTATCATGCTGTATTATCATTTGTTTCATGTTATTTTATATACATTCTGGTACCTATATATACATATATGTATATGTGTATATGTATGTACATGTATGTGTGTTTGCATGCGTGTGTGGGTATGTAAAAGATATATTAAGTGATGACTATAAACCATTCTTAGTATTTATGAGGGATATGGCATAATTTGAACAAGGTAGTAGGCAAATTTTCTTTTTATATAAGCTACTGAGAAGTAGGTTCATGAACATAGTTACTGGCAGAATTCCCAGTTCCTGGAGAGCTGTCGCGTTTTTTTTTTTTTTTTTTTTTTCTCTTTGATAGAACTAGAACATTTTCGTGCTGCACCAAGTGGTTGTCTAACATACTGAAACAGATTCGTTGCATGAAAACTATAACCCCCACAACTAAATTAGTTCTCGGTCTCTGTCTAATAATACCTATTCAGAGTCCTCAGTCTCTGTCTAATGTCCCATGGATTATGGGGTCTATACACTTAAAAATACAATGTTTTCCTATTTCCATCCAGTCTTTAACACTAGGGCATCCATGTACCCTTCTTGCTTAGTCTGAGAGAACTCATTTGTGAAGATTAAAAATATCTTAAAGCCTGGGCACAGTGGTTCAGGCCTGTAATCCTAGCAATTTAGAAGTCCAAGACAGAATGGATACTTGAGGCTAGGAGTTTGAGACTAGCCTGGGCAACATAGGGTGATGCCTTCTCTAGAAAAAATAAATGAAAATAAAAGCATGATATGGGCATGACGGCATGCACCTGCAGTCCTAGCTACTTGGGAGGCTGAGGTGGAAGGAGTGCAAGCCGGGGAGTTTGAGACTGCAGTGAGCAATGATCAAGCCACTGCACTCCAGCCTGGAAACAGAGGAGGACCTTGTCTCTTAAAGAAAAAAATTAAAGCCCTCAGAGCCCCTGAATGATAATATAAGCCAAAACAGCGAACAGAATTGGCCTAAGACCAACAAAGAAAATAAAATCCGTAGTTATTGCCAGGACCCATTACTTCAGCTAGGCTATGGGTTATGTCCTTTGCAGCTATAACGGTGAAGATTTGACTTTTTAACATCTTTATATTTAGAAAAATCATTGAGTTTCATGAAGATCATTTAATGTAGATAATTCACATGATACTAACCACATACCAGGTATCCAGACACACTGTGTGTGAATTCTAATGCAGAATGGACAGTTTTTACTCCAACCAACCAAACAAGTAACAATACAACACCAACAAAAACCCAAACACCATGATAACACTCTGGAATTAGAAAATTAGTAAAATTTACACAACACTCTTAGAAGATTAATATTTTGTGCTTAAGACAAATATTCTCATGTATCTGTTGACTTAGAAAAAAATACTAAACAAAAGATAATATGCATATACATCTTGTATACACTCCTTCAATAATATATAAGATGAGTAAGTTCTAGATAACTGCTGCATACCATTGTGCCTATGGTTGACAACACCATTGCACACACAAAAATTTAAGAGGTTAGATCTTATGTTCTGTTATATATATGTATATATATATAGTAGTGAGAACACTATAGTGGTGAGAATATATATATATACACACACATAGGTATACATATATAATATACATACAATGAAGTCAAAAGATATTTCTGTAACTAGATTACACAATGAGCAAATTTTACTTTCTTGCTTTGAAAGTGTTAATTTTGGGAAAAAAATCTTATATTTGACTAATTTTAACTAAAACGAGCTAAATAGGAGATATCTGGGGGAGCATATATAATGTTAGATGGATGCATGTGTGTGTGTGTGTGTAGATAGGTAGATAGATAGATAGACAGATTGATTTTTGTTTTAAGGTGGAGTCTCATTTCAGGAGACTTCTGGGATTAACTTCAGTTGGATTTGCAACAAGATAAACTGTCTCTTTTCCTTAGAAGAGGAAGAGAGCTGAGAAAACCCAAAGTACCTTGCCATGAGTCCATCTTCTTGTGGAATTTGTGCTTTTGATTCTGCATGCTAATGAAAAGAAAGAATAACTATTTTGGCTAAGCCATCATGGATTCATTAGAAGTTAGTAAGCTCTCATCATTTATCTCTCATATTATATTTTTGCTTTTGTATTAGCTAGGTATTAATTAGTAGTTACTAGAAAATTTAAAATTTCATATATTTTATGTAAGATCATTGTGAGGGGCACCCAATAGCCAAATTTTTTTTTTTCACTGTCTGAAGTGAAAATAGACACTAAGGATAATGCATATCTTTTTTTAAAAAATCTGGCCCTGAAGTGACAAACACCACTATATTGGCTAATACTAACCACCGGAAAATATCCAGGAAGTTGAGAAATGTAGTTCCTACCTAGGAAGCTGCCTGCCAGAAATAATACAGTAGCATCACAAAATTAAATATATATATGCATAGCATTATTGTTTTTCTTGTCACAGACTTTGTGTATACACTAGTCTAGGTAATAGTAACAATGACATCTCCTCATTTATGAATTATTATTATTATTGTTATTATTATTTTGAGATGGAGACTCACTCTGTTGCCCAGGCTGGAGTGCAGTGGCTGGATCTCAGCTCACTGCAACCCCCACATCCTGGGTTCAAGCGATTCTCCAGCCTCAGCCTCCCAAGTAGCTGGGACTACAGGTGCACACCCCCATGCCCAGCTAATTTTTGTATTTCTAGTAGAGTCAGGGTTTCACCATGTTGGCCAGGCTGGTCTTGAACTCCTGACATCAGGTGATCCACCCGCCTCAGCCTCGCAAAGTGCTAAGATTACAGGCGTGAGCCACCGTGCCCAGCTATTTTTGTATTTTTAATAGAGACAGGATTTCACCATATTTGCCAGGCTGATCTCGAACCCCTGACCACAGGTGATCCACCTGCCTCGCCTCCCAAAGTGCTGGGATTATAGGCATGAGCCACAGTGCCCGGCCTGTTTATGAATTATTTTATAAAATTAAAATTATTATATCTTTAAACTAGATACAATTCAATTACTTTGTGGTTCACCAATTTAATGTCTATGATTAAATGACTTTCACTATATTCAGAAAGTTGTAAATAAGTACCAGAATTGAATTTGAAAATAATTTGGTCACCCCCAAAAGAAACCTCACTCCTATTAAACTTCAGAGTTACTCTGCATTTTTACTAATCCCCCAGCCCTAAGCAACCACTGATCCACTTTCTGTATCTATAGATGTGCCTGTTCTGGCCATTTCATATGAGGAAATCATGTCGTATGCGATATTTTGTGATTGGTTTTTATACTTAGCATAGGGATTCAAGGTTCACCTACGTTGTAACATGTATTAGCAAATTGTTCATTCTGGATGCTTTTTCTGCCCCTGCCACCCGACTTGCTCTAGCTAGACCCTCTAGTACAACGTTGGATAGAAATGGCAAAAGGAAACATTTTGTTTGCTTATTCTTAATCTTATAGGAAAAGCATGTTTTCTCATCATTAGGTACTTTAGATGGGTTTTGCATGGATTTTCTTCTTCGGGTTGAGAAAGTTCTCTTTTTTTCCTAGTTTGTTGAGTATTTTTATCATAAACAGGTATCATATTAATATTTTTGTCAAATGACATTTCGATGTATATAGAGATTATCAGGCGAGTTTTGTTCTTTATTCTATTGCAAAGATCTAGTACATTGATTGGTTCAAGATGTTACAGTAACCTTGCATTCCTGGGATAAACCCCACTTAGCCGTGATATATAATTCTTTATATATATTATGGAATTTGGTTTGCTGTATTTTGTTGCAGATTTTTGGCAACTATACTCAAAAGGAATATTGGTTTGTTGTGTCTTTTGCCATATTTTTGTTTAATTTTTGCTTCAGGGTAATATAGACCGCATAGAATAATTTGGAAGTTTTTCCCTTCCCTAATTTTGGAAAAGTTTGTGAAGAATTTTGGTTTTTATAAAGATTGGTAGAATTTATAGAATTTACTAATGAAGCCATTTGTGCCTAAGTCTTTTTTTGAGGAAAGTTTAAAAAACCACTAATTTGGTCTCTTAGTTGTTAAAAGATTCTCCAGATTTTTTTTTTTTTTTTTTTTTTTTTTTTTTTTTTTTTTAGCTCATTGTAGCTTCCATCTCCTGGGCTCAAGTGATCCGCCCACCTGAACTTCTCAAATAGCTAAGACTATAGTGGCATGCCTGTTTTTTTCTTGTTTTGTTTTTTTTTTTTTTTTCGTGGAGACGGGTTCTTGCTTTGTTGCACAGGCTGATCTCAAACTCTTGGCTTGAAGCGATCTTCTCGTCTCAGCCTCTCAAAGTGTTGGGATTACAGGCATGATCCACCATAATGGGCCTCTACAGATTTCTATTTTTGCTTAGTCAGTTTTAGCAGTTTGTGTATTTCTAAGGTTTGCTCATTTTATCTAAGTAACTTACATTTTTAGAATCGAATTATTTATATTCTTCCCTTGTTCTTCTCAAAAATTTTTCTGCAAAGTTCATTCTTATGTCCTCTTTTTCATTCCTGACTTTAGTATTACCATGTTAGTAATATTTGTGTCTTCTGTTTATCTCGGTCAGTTTGCCTAAGGATTTGTTAATTTTGTACAGCTTATAAAATAGATATCATGGCCTTTAATTTATATCTAAGCACTTCTTTAGTTGCATCTCATAAATTTTGGTATGTTGTCTTTTGTTTCAAATTGTCTCAATAAATTTGTTATTTCTTTTTAGAGTTATTAAATATTTAAGAGAGTATAGTGTAATTGTCAAATATTTGTCAATTTTTCTAACTTTGTTATTGATTACTAATTTGTTTGTGGTTGGAGAACATAATTTATTTGATTTTAATTCTTTTAAATTTACTGAGGATTGTTTTATACCCATGGTCTCCATTGTCTGTTATGGAGAATATATGTTCTACTGTTGGTAATGTAGTGTTTTATAGATGTTTTAGGTTTTGTTTGTTTATAGTATTGTTAAATTCTTCCATATCCTTGTTAATCTCCTGTAATTGCTCTATTCATTATTGAATGTGTGGTATCAAAGTCTTCAACTATTTATTGTTGACATCTCTATTTCTGCTTTCATTGTTAATTTATTCAGTTTTATTGGCTTAACTCATTTATATATACTATTATTATTGATATTGTTGAACTTATATTTCCCATTTTTCTCATTTTATGTCTCACGTTTCCATCTCTCTTCATCTGTTACTACCTTCTTTTGCATTAACTAAATATTTTCTAGTGTAGCATTAAATAATCTTACATTAAAAATTTTAAATTATACTTTAAGAGTTTTTAATAGCTTCTGTAGGTCTTATGATATATATTTTTATCATTTTTTAGATTTACTTAATACCAGTGAAATACAGAAACTTCACTCATGTATATGCATTCTCTCCTTTTTTAGATTTTACCATTATTGCTATATATATGTGTTTATATATCTGTGTGTGTGTATATATATAGATATACATATATATGATATGTCACAAACCCAATGATTTTTTAAATTAATATTTTATATGTCTTATAGAAGGAGAGAAAAGAAAGTAGAAATAGTACATATTTATACTTTGTTTTATTAACTTATTACCTACTCTTTCTGGTTCTTTTCATTACTTCCTGTGGATTTGGATTACCATTTGATATCATTTCCTTACTCCAATACAGTTTTGTTTGCAGTTGCCTCCTTATGCTATTATTGTTAAACATATAATTTTTCTATATGTTTTTGGCCCAATTATACAATTATATACATATTATTTTTGCTACTTTTTAAATTAGTTTATGCAAGAGAATAGATATACAATTCCCCTACATGATTACTTTACTGGTACTCTTGTTTTTTTCAGTAGATTCAAATTACTTTCTAGTATCCCTTGCTTTCAGCCTGAAGAATTGCCTTTAGTGGTTTTTTGTTTGTTTGTTTGTTTGTTTTTTTAAGATGGTTCTACTTGCAACAAATAATCTGTTTTTGTTTACCTGGAGATGTTGTCATTCTGCCTTTAGTTTGAAAAGACAATTTTGTTGGCTATAATATTCTTGGCTGAGTTTTCTTGTTATTTTTTCTTTCAGCACATTCAATATTTCCTTTCACTGCCTTCTGGCTTCCATTAGGACAAATGCATAGAGTCATAGAACCACCACCGCAGTCATGATACACATATTTTTATCATCCAAATCATTTTGTTATTCTGCCTCTCCCCACCCAGAATCACAGACAACCAACATTTTTCTCCATCCTCATAGTTTCATCTTTTTTTCCATGTCATGTAAATGAAATCATATGGTACATAGCCTTTTGAGTTTGGCTTCTTCCACTTACTGTTATGATGTTCTTAAGATATGTAAGATTAATCCATATTGTCATGTAAATCAAAAGATTATTCCTTTTTATTGCTGAGTCATGTCCCATCCAGTAGATTGACCACAATTTATTGATCCGCTCACCAACTGAAGGACATTTTGGTTGTTTTCTGTTTTGGTGAACAGGAATAAAGCCACCATAAACATTCAAGAACAATATTTTGTGGGAACATATTTTGTCATAAGTAAACAAC
The DNA here is from genome assembly GCF_000001405.40 of Homo sapiens. Taxonomy (NCBI): domain Eukaryota; kingdom Metazoa; phylum Chordata; class Mammalia; order Primates; family Hominidae; genus Homo; species Homo sapiens. The sequence continues at coordinate 83,448,054 of NC_000010.11, read as the reverse complement.
TAGAAGCAGGATTGCTGAATCACAAATATTTAACATTAAAAGAAACTGCCAAACTTTTCAAAAATGCTGTACCATTTTACATTAACATCGGCAACGTGTGATAGTTAAAGTTGCTGCACATTCTCCTCAGCACTTGAGACTGCCAGGGTTTTAATTTTTTTCCTTCTAATTTTAGCTATTCTAATAGGTGTGCAATGACATCACATTTTGGTTTTGGTTTGGTTTTAACTTGCTTTTTTACTTTTTCATATGGCCGCATAAATGTTTTCTTTTGAGAAGCGTCTGTTCATATCCTTTACCCACTTTTTGATGGGGTTGTTTTTTTCATGTAAATTTGATTAAGTCTCTTGTAGATTCTGGATATTAGACTTTTGTCAGATGAACAGATTGCAAAAATTGTCTCCCTTTCAGTAGGTTGCCTGTTCACTCTGATGATAGTTTCTTTTGCTGAGCAGAAGCTCTTTAGTTTAATTAGATCCCATTTGTCAATTTTGGCTTTTGTTGCAATTGTTTTGAATGGTATTGCCTAGGTTTTCTTCTATTTTTTTTTTTATGGTTTTAGGTTTCACATTTAGGTCTTTAATCCATCTTGAGTTAATTTTTGTATAAGGTGTAAGGAAGGAGTTCAGTTTCTGTTTTCTGCATGTGGCTAGCCAGTTTTCCCAGCACCATTGATTAAATAGGGAACCTTTCCCCATTGCTTGTTTTTGTCAGGTTTGTTGAAGATCAGATGGTTGTAGATGTGTGGTGTTATTTCTGAGGCCTCTGTTCTGTTTCATGGGTCTGTATATCTGTTTTGGTACTAGTACCATGGTGTTTTTGTCTAAAAAAGATAAATAAAATAAAATTTCCCAATCACTGCAAAAGAGTACTAGACTAAATGCTTAAGTGTGCTTTTAGCCCAAGCTTTTGTCTGTAAAGGAGAAACTACTTTCTCAGTGTTAACAAATAATGAGCAACATAAAGGAGGTGGCATTGAAGTTTGGGCCAAAGGTTCAGGTTGAAATAGCTGTGCATTAATTTTTCCAGCTTGATCCTCTGTCAATAGGTCTTTGGACAACCTCACAGGAATGGCTTACAGTAAGTTTAGAGCTTGATAAAAGTTTTTAACATTCAGTAAATCGCACATTTTAAAATTCTTTTAATTTACATCAGAAGCAATAAGAAGAAAGAGAACAATATTTTAGACTGTTGTAGTGGTATTTAGTTTACAGATTTTTAAAAAATATGTATTTATTAACTTTAATGGCAACATGAAAGACTGTAAGATAGAAACTATTGTTCCTGGGCCAGGTGTGGTAACTGACAGCTGTAATCCCAGCACTTTGGAAGGCCGAGGCAGGCGGATCATCTGAGGTCAGGAGTTTGAGACCAGCCTGGCAAACATGGTGAAACCCCTTCTCTACTAACAAATACAAAAATTAGCTGGGTGTGGTGGTGCACACCTATAATCCCAGCTACTCGGGAGGCTGAGGCAGGAGAATCACTTGAACCTGGGAAGTGGAAGTTGCAGTGAGCTGAGATCGTGCCACTGCACTCCAGCCTGGGCAACCAAGTGAGACTCTGTCTCAAGAAAACAAAAATAAAAACAAAAAGAAACTATTATTCCTATTTATGGATAAGAAAGCTAATACTAAGGTAAGCAAATAGAAAATGCCACCTTTAGCATTTAAGAGAGTCCATGTGTTAACACAACAAAAAAGCATTAGCCAATTTAGTAGGAAATGACTTATGAGCAATGCTTAGCATCATCAGAATGAATGCTTGCCTAAGAATCAACTGAAAGTAGAACTTGTGATTTAAAAAATTAGGTTAGTATAAACAAGTGGGTGGAAGTGGGTGACATTGTACATGGCAACCTAATTAGAGTTAAAGAGATTAAATTAGGAGAATTACAGAAAAGTTCAAAGTTAACTAAATTGAGGAGTTAGGATCAATTAGCAATAGAGTCATCTATTCTGTTGAGTTTTAGAAAAAAACATTTTATATGTATAAAAATGATTAGTTCATGTGGCTAATTTTCAACAGTTGCTTGAAATACTGTTCCAGAAAATATTTTATGTTTCAGAGGAAGAGCAGCCAGCAGCAAAAAACCACATAAGCATATATACTTGTAATCTAATTTGGGTGAATTTAAAATATTTTTAAAATACCTAGAATGTGCAGGAGACATCGTCAATTAAATTGAAAGACAATATATTTTTTACCTTTTGTGATCGTTCAACAGGTTCTTTCTGCCCACTGCACAGAGCAAATCAATCCACTGAGACCACGGTATTGCAGTGGAGAAAGTTTAATTGATGAAAGGCCAGCACACATGGAAGAACTGGAGTTATCACTTTGCCTCCCTCAAGGTTTACAGCTTAGGGTTTTTATGGACAATTTGGTGGGCAGGGGGCTAGGGAATAGGTGCGGTGCTGCTGATTGGTTGGGGATGAAATCATGTGGGTGTGGAAAATGGCCCTCGTGCACTGAGTCTGCCTCTGGGTGGGGTTAAAAGATAAGTTGAGACATGAGTTAGGTCACAAATTTTGTGACCTTTGGCTACATAACTCCTGAGCAGTAAAGGATTACAGAAACTATACCTATTTTGTGACCTCTCATCAGTCTTACAAAGACAATTTCAGCCCTGAATGGGGAACGGTTTAGTTTTAGAAAGATTGTTCTCATTCTTTCTTTCAAGTTAAACTATAAACTGAATTCCTCCTAAATTTAGCTTCTACTCCCAGAAATGACCAAAGAAAGTTTGGAGATGAGAAGCAAGATAGAGTCAACTATGTCAGATTTCTCTTGCTGTTGATATAGGAATTAAGAAGAAATTACTTAGGCAGATAGTGAGGGCACAGGAGTCCTGGGGAAAGTTTTCCTTTTTAATGAAAAGCAGCCCCCAAATCATTTTCTAACAAATAGCAGCCTGTGAAATCAAGCTGCAGACATAGACAAGCAAGCTGGAAGCTTGCACGGGTGAATGCCGGCAGAAAAATACTGCCTGGGACTAGGTATGTTCAAAATGGCAGCTCCATCTTCTCTTCTTTTTGCCAGACATGTGTACAGTAAGGAGCAGACAAGATAGCGCAGGTCAAGTGGAAAGCCAATTTGCATAAAAAGATTGGGGTGGGGTGGCCAGTCTTCCTTGCACACTGTGTAAAAGTCACACCTGATCAAATCAATCTGAGGGCCCTAGGTAAGTCAGACACCACCTCCTCAAGCCTGCCTATAAAATCTAGCGCATCCTATGCCAGCTGGTCTTTCCCTTCCCGAAGCCCCTCCGAGAGAGAGAGAGAGCTGTTCTCCTTTCTCTTTCTTCTGCCTGTTAAACCTCCATTCCTAAACTCCTCGTGTGTGTCCGTGTCCTAAATTTTCTTAGCACAAGATGATGATCCCCAGGTATTTACCCCAGATAATGGAGCTGCTTCACTGTCATAATTTTGCGTAGGCGGTTTCAATCTCAATTTAATACTTTTTAACTTAGAAATGATGGTAAAACTTTATAACATACATACAATTAGCATTTTTCTTTTTTGTGCTATATTATAAAATGTCATGGAGATACATTAAAAGATTTTCTTAGAATAATCAGTAAACCATTTAAAAGGTAACAATACAAATTATGTGAACTTTACAAACGGGCTCTTCAGTGTTACTTCCAGGAGAGAAAGGAAAGTCTCCTCTTATTCTCTGAAGGTTTGCTAGTTGCTGTGTAACTGGCAATACACAGAATAAAGAAAGAAAAAGGCATAAAAATTATTTAACACTCATAAGAGGGGAATTGCAGAATTATTACCCAATAACCCAATAAGGTTTTCATGCTTATATACTCTTCTTCATAGAGGAAAAGAAGGGGTAAATGTGAAATTTTTGAGAGGTAGTAAATATTTTTTAGGGGAATTAAGAGGACCCAAGAGGCAGGCATTATTTTATAAATGATTTTCTTTGTAATTTGAATGATCCTGAGAGATAGACAACGTCATGTGACAAAGTCCATCCAGGTGTGGTTGCATCCCTCAATCTGTGGTTGATAATGAAATTTCAGTGAGGGGATGGAAGGCAACTGTATTCTCTTTGGAGGGTCTGGTCTTAAGGCATATGAGAAAATATCAGAGTAAAACTCTTCCCTGTGCCAGTATGAAGACAGGAGAGGTTAAAAAAAAAGTCCTTGATTTGGGGGCAGCTTCTGTGGCATTCCTATTTTAGCTCAAAGTGTTCAACATGCCAAAGCATTGTACTTTTGGGGTGTTGTTTTCTGAGCCACAATATTCTTCTGTCTGAACATCCCTTACAGTTTCATGCACAAAAACCCACACAGCTGGTAGCTGTTGAGAAAAAATAACCAAGTTTGTAGCTGAGTGGCAAAATATCCTATTAAACCAGTCTCCCATCACTGGGAATAGTGCAGTTTAATTAAACAGTTGTGTCTAATTCTACAAGATGGTATTGGGCTTTCAAAGTTAGCCTCAATATATGATGCAGACAAACTGATCTTCATTAAGAAGCAGTTGTATGGAAACAGAGGAAAAACAAAGCCAATTGTCTAGAGTAGTCTAAAAACTAGTTTTCTAGAGTTTGGAAGGTGATCAGTTGAGAAGATTCCTGGATTTGGGTTTGAAGGATCTTTAGTTGGAGCAGGAAGAGGAGGTGGCAATCTGGAAGATTTTTCTGGATTGCTGTTTGAATGTGTGGTAATTTCTCTGAAGTCTAATCCAGTCAATCAGTTTTGACTTGTGGGATTCCAAAAAAGCAGTTTTAACTGCAGTGAGACCAAGATGGAAAAATGGAAGAAAACTTTCGAAATGTTAGTTCAGAGACTTGCAGCCAGAAAACAATTCAGGATTTGGTTCAAATTGCAGGTAAATAATAAAATCTAAAAACAATGAGCTGGAATCCATTAATGATTGCCTTATAGTAGTTTTTCCCCCTGTAGCATAATTTTTCTCTATCCAGTCCTCCCCATTACTATCAAAGATAATCGTGGTAAGACTAATTTGTAAAATATGTTTAGTCTCATTAAGACTGGCCTAATCATTTACATAAGTTGGGCATGAATAGTGATTTACTATATAGGGTCTTTTAACGTTGCTTTTGCTTGAACTTTTCATAAGAAACCCAGATTAACCTTTTAGAAAGCCTTTTGAGGCTTAGAAGCCAGAATTAAGAACACATCCTCAGACTGTGCCTGTCATTCCTGTACAAATTGGGTGAATTTTTCTCTTCTTAAGACCCTTAAAATGTCTTGAGGTTCCTGGGCCTATCAGAAAGCGACATTCTTACAAGGCTAGGAATCCTATAAGGGAAACATGTAGACAAGGTGTCATGCAAATTGTCCAAAAAGCTTCTAGTGACTTTATAAAGTCAACCTCACTTTCTTAAAATTGTCTGGTCATATATGATGATAGGATATTCCAGGTAAAACTTTGGTAATATAACAAGTGTTTCCAATTGTCCTCTTAGTAGAAGAACAGATTTTTATTAAACTTATATGAGTAACTATATTGCCATAATATGCATATACTCATCAATAGTTTAAAAACTTTGAGGGATCAGTCAAAAAGAAAAAAGTAAATGTTTCAATTCTATTTATGAAAGTAATTTTTACCAATTGCTGTAAACTATACATAGCTTAAGAGAAAAAAATAAAATCTGGAAAACAAAACATAACAACAATTAGCAATGTTTTAGAGTCATAAATTATAATACTTCATCAGTTCAATACTATGTAATTAATTATTGTTCTGGTTGATGTTGGCAGTTTTATGAGTCCAGCTTTTTTCTTATTAGAGTCTAGGAAATAGGGTCCAATGGTACAAACTCAAAGTTATTAGAAACCTGTATTTGTTAGAGCTCTTTTTATTTATTTTTTATTTCTATTTTATTATACTTTAAGTTTTAGGTACATGTGCACAATGTGCAGGTTTTTTACATATGTATACATGTGCCATGTTGGTGTGCTGCACCCATTAACTCATCATTTAACATTAGGTATATCTCCTAATGCTATCCCTGCCCACTCCTGCCACCCCACAACAGGCCCCAGTGTGTGATGTTCCCCTTCTTGTGTCCATGTGTTCTCATTGTTCAATTCCCACCTATGAGTGAGAACATGTGGTGTTTGGTTTTTTGTCCTTGCGATAGTTTGCTGAGAATGATGGTTTCCAGCTTCATCCATATCCCTACAAAGGACATGAACTCATCATTTTTATGGCTGCATAGTATTCCATGGTGTATATGTGCCACATTTTCTTAATCCAGTCTATCATTGTTGGACATTTGGGTTGGTTCCAAGTCTTTGCTATTGTGAATACTGCCGCAATAAACGTGCGTGTGCATGTATCTTTATAGCAGCATGATTTATAAACCTTTGGGTATATACCCAGTAATGGGATGGCTGGGTCAAATGGTAATTCTACTTCTAGATCCCTGAGGAATCGCCACACTGACTTTCACAATGGTTGAACTAGTTTACAGTCCCACCAACAGTGTAAAAGTGTTCCTATTTCTCCACATCCTCTCCAGCACCTGTTGTTTCCTGACTTTTTAATGATTGCCATTCTAACTGGTGTGAGATGGTATCTCATTGTGGTTTTGATTTGCATTTCTCTGATGGCCAGTAATGATGAGCATTTTTTCATGTGTCTTTTGGCTGCATAAATGTCTTCTTTTGAGAAGTGTCTGTTCATATCCTTTGCCCACTTGTTGATGAGGTTGTTTTTTTCTTGTAAATTTGTTTGAGTTCATTGTAGATTCTGGATATTAGCCCTCTGTCAGATGAGTAGATTGCAAAAATTTTCTTCCATTCTGTAGGTTACCTGTTCATTCTGATGGTAGTTTCTTTTGCTGTGCAGAAGCTCTTTAGTTTAATTAGATCCCATTTGTCAATTTTGGCTTTTGTTGCCATTGCTTTTGGTGTTTTAGACACGAAGTCCTTGCCCATGCCTATGTCCTGAATGGTATTGCCTAGGTTTTCTTCTAGGGTTTTTATGGTTTTAGGTCTCACATTTAAGTCTTTAATCCATCTTGAATTAATTTTTGTATAAGGTGTAAGGAAGGGATCCAGTTTCAGCTTTCTACCTATGGCTAGCCAGTTTTCCCAGCGCCATTTATTAAATAGGGAATCCTTTCCCCATTTCTTGTTTTTGTCAGGTTTGTCAAAGATCAGATAGTTGTAGATATGCAGCATTATTTCTGAGGGCTCTGTTCTGTTTCATTGGTCTATATCTCTGTTTTGGTACCAGTACCATGCTGTTTTGGTTACTGTAGCCTTGTAGTATAGTTTGAAGTCAGATAGCGTGATGCCTACAGCTTTGTTCTTTTGGCTTAGGATTGACTTGGCGATGCAGGCTCTTTTTTGGTTCCATATGAACTTTAAAGTAGTTTTTTCCAATTCTGTGAAGAAAGTCATTGGTAGCTCTATGGGGATGGCAATGAATCTATAAATTACCTTGGGCAGTATGGCCATCTTCATGATATTGATTCTTCCTACCCATGAGCATGGAATGTTCTTCCATTTGTTTGTATCCTCTTTTATTTCATTGAGCAGTGGTTTGTAGTTCTCCTTGTCCTTCACGTCCCTTGTAAGTTGGATTCCTAGGTATTTTATTCTCTTTGAAGCAATTTTGAATGGGAGTTCACTCATGATTTGGCTGTCTGTTTGTCTGTTATTGGTGTATAAGAATGCTTGTGATTTTTGCACATTGATTTTGTATCCTGAGACTTTGCTGAAATTGCCTATCAGCTTAAGGAGATTTTGGGCTCAGACAGTAGGATTTTCTAGATACACAATCATGTCATCTGCAAACAGGGACAATTTCACTTCCTCTTTTCTTAATTGAATACCCTTTATTTCCTTCTCCTGCCTGATTGCCCTGGCCAGAACTTCCAACACTATGTTGAATAGGAGTGGTGACAGAGGGCATCCCTGTCTTGTGCCAGTTGTCAAAGGGAATGCTTCCAGTTTTTGCCCATTCAGTATGATATTGGCTGTGGGTTTGTCATAGATAGTTCTGATTATTTTGAGATACGTCCCATCAATACCTAATTTATTGAGAGTTTTTAGCATGAAGTGTGGTTGAATTTTGTCAAAGGCCTTTTCTGCATCTATTGAGATAATCATGTGGTTTTTGTCATTGGTTCTGTTTATATGCTGGATTACGTTTATTGATTTGCATATGTTGAATCAGCCTTGAATCCCAGGGATGAAGCCCACTTGATCATGGTGGATAAGCTTTTTGATGTGCTGCTGGATTCGGTTTGCCAGTATTTTATTGAGGATTTTTGCATCGATGTTCATCAGACATATTGGTCTAAAATTCTCTTTTTTTGTTGTGTCTCTGTCAGGCTTTGGTATCAGGATGATGCTGGCCTCATAAAACGAGTTAGGGATGATTCCCTCTTTTTCTATTGATTGGCATAGTTTCAGAAGGAATGGTAGAGCTCTTTTTATTTTTTCCACATATCTCCTTGAGGACACAACACTGTAGGATTTGCAAAGAGCTTTCAGGGAAATAAAAAAGCATTAGAATAAAGCAATCACTTATGGTCAAAAAGATTTACAATGGCCATGATTAGAGATTGGATGGGAGTTCATTATAATAATAATGCAACTGACAAGGAAATTTGGTTATTTCTGTGGTCTACAACAATAAAACATAATAATTAAAATTATGACTGATAACATATACCAAGATAAATTAGATTTCTAGGAATCTCATATAATTTTGGAACATATATGTCAATACCATATCCAAATATAACTCAAAGAAAGTTAAATGTAATTTCTATTTTGACAATGTTCTTTATATAATTTTAACATAGCAAATGAGACTAATCAGTTTAATAGCTTTCTGTTGGTCTAGGGTTCTTTCTGCAATGTCCAAAAATTTGCTTGAAATTAAAAAGACTTAATTTTGATTTTGAAAAGTTTCACAAAATAGTTTTGAAACACATGATCAAAAATAAAATTATGGATTATAAAATAATAATTATTAATTTAACCAGAGTCATGATTAAAAGACTTTAAAAACTAATACAGGAAGCTACATGATTGTAAAAAAAACTCTTAACTTCTTAAATATTTAGTTTTCCTAAATAATCAAAGACCCAATAAAGAAAACATGAAGCACAGGAAAATATCTTGATAACATTAGAATCTATCTCTCTTTTCAGTTCGCTCAAAAGGTAAACAAAAATATCTTACTATCTCTTAATATATAAAAATCTTGTTGAAAAGAGAAGACATATTGTAGTTTTGTATCAGTGTACTTTTGATATTAAGACTTTTTAAAAATGCTACATAAAATTAATTTAATTTTATTCAGTTTGATCACACATACAAATACATTTTAAGATTTATCTTTCATTATCCTTTTGTAACTTTTTACTCATTCAGTTTTATGTATATATTTTTTCATTCTAAAACAAACTTTAACCTCTAAACTATTAAAAGTTACTTTTTCTTTAACAAAAGCAATACTCTTATTTTTTTCTTACAACCTTCTTCACCAAAAACATATCTTGCTTTTCTGTACACTTTACATACAAAATTATTTCTCTGAGTTTTAGTAGTTTTAATTATGTATATTAATTAGACTTTTAACTCTTAGTATCATTAATATCCAGGGAAAACCTAGAAAGTAAGCAATTTCATTTGTCTTTTACATATCAGTATTTTATGAATCCATACTTTGTAATTTCTAAAAATACTTTTCCCACAAATTTTAAAAAATGTGAAACAGAACATACTAATTAACAGACCAAAATATATTTTGTTTCTTTATAATAAGAAGCCAAAATAGATAAACCTTTTGTTATAAATTTAGTATTTTATCTTATTTGAAAATGATCTAAAATTTGGTTGAATACCTATCACTTAATTTAACTTAGTAAAACCTGAAGGGTGTACTTGTCAAAGAGATTTGAGAAAGCTTTAAGTAAACATATTATGCAACATAATTGTTGTTAAAATGGAGTACCTTTGTAGTCTTTGATTCTACTTATATTTATTTGATTTATTCATCCTTAGCAATTATGCTTGGAAAAAATACAGTAGAAATTAGATAAAGCTTAGTCTAATGACTACGTTATTTTTCTATTAATCAATGATATAGCACATGATATAGTCAATTACCATCAAAGCAAGTACCCTAAAGTTAAATACATGGGTATTTTGTTTATAACTTAGAAAAGAAACCCTTTCTATTCAACCAGCAATATTTAACTAGTCATATTTACTAAAGATTTATCCAGGTCATTTGAACTTGAAAAACATTTTGGTTAGTTATTTAATTTGTGAGTATTAATTTATTTTTAAGTCAATTTGGTACCATGAGGACAATATGCAAACACATGTACAGACATATACATACATTTAGACACAACACAAAACATACACATGTGCACATGTATATATTCAAAAGCCAAAGATTTCAGAGAGATTAATTTAAAAGAGAGCAGAGCTTTAGTTTAGACATGAGAAGAACCTGCCAATGAACCTGAGGATTTCGTGAGAAACATAGAATTCTCCGAAAATTAGTCAATGGTGCCTTTCCTGTGTTCCTCTGGGGGTCTCAGGGACATTAGCAACCTCCCCCCAGGCCTTTTCATGAGGTTGCCAAACTCTAATGTTTCCTTTTAATTATTTTTAGCTATTGGCCACCAAATGGAAAAGATAGAGTATCAAAGGGAACTGGATGGAAGTTTGAAGATGACAAATGGGCAGAAGTAAAAGGAAAAACAAGTCTCGGAGAAAATTTGGGAAAATCTTTCTTTTTCTAAAGGCCAATGCGGTTCTCCACTATTTTGTGCAAACGTTATGCCAATGTAAAAGAAGGGGACAGAGGGAGTAGGTGTATAGTCAGCAGGGGGTTTGAAAAAAGGGTTATAGTCAACTGAGAGGTTCCTAACGGGAGAAGCACAATCCAAAGAAATACACACACATATATATATACACATATATATGTGTGTGTGTGTGTGTGTGTGTGTATATATATATACACACACACACACACATATACATACATATATATATAGGCGTTTATTAAATATTAACTCAGAGGATTACAAGGTTCCACAATAGGCCATCTACAAGCTGAGGAGCAAGGAGAGCCAGTCTGAGTCCCAAAACTGAAGAAGTTGGAGTCCCGTGTTTGATGGCAGGAAGCATGCAGCATGGGAGAAAGATGTAGGCTGGGAGGCTAGGCCAGTCTAGTCTTTTCATGTTTTTTCGCCTGCTTTATATTCTAGCCATGCTGGCAGCTGTTTAGATGGTGCCCACCCAGATTAAGGGTGGGTCTGCCTTTCCCAGCCCACTGACTCAAATGTTAATCTCCTTTGGCAACACCCTCACAGACACACCCAGGATCAATACTGTGCATCTTTCAACCCAATCAAGTTGACACTCAGTATTAACCATCACAGTAAGAATAGGTGAGCTCTAGAAAAGTTTGTCACATGAGCAGCCAGCTTTTCACCAGAGCTGAGGGACCAGTGGTGGTGGTAGTGGTGGTGGTGGCAGAAGGCATGTGTCTCTGGACCAAGCTGCATCTAACCCTCCAGACTACCCTGGCCTGCTCCAAGGAGCCTGCAGAGAAAAGCTAATGAAGATAAGAAAGACAGAAAGACAGGACGAAGAGAGTTTCTAGTCATATTCCTGTTTTTTTTTTGTTGTTGTTGTTGTTTTGTCTTAAGGCATGTTTCTCTTGTTTCTTTTAGCATATGGGTTTATTTTATCCCGGTAGAGAAAGCAAGAAAAACAGATTAAAATGCTGCTGCCAGGCTCTAAAAATAAGCCAAAGTTTTAAACCAAAATTATACATAAACACATGACTTAAAACCAAAACAAATGAGCACACAGGAGACCAAAATCAAGAAACCAAGGTCTCCAAAGAAAGAGCAGTAAGCTACAGCCCTTCCAAGATCCAGATGACTTCCAATAACAGCTTAAAGAAGGGAAAGTTTTAAGACAAGCACTCCATTAAACAAAATAGAAAAACAAAAGCCGTTTATGGGAAAGAAAGTCTTACAAACAAATAGGTATCCGTATCCCAAAAGTCAAGGGCCATACTAATATAAATTAAAAACAATTTAAACTAGTTCTCACAAATGAGTCTTTTCTTCTGCTAAGTTAAAGAATTTACATCTTCAAAGGACTGATAACCCTGATCAAACCAAAGCCATGGCAGAAAAAACACTGAATCCTAGCCATTAGTTCACAGGCTGGAGTACTTTTTTTTTGCAAATCCCACTGGGAATCCAAAACAGCCAATTTCAGCATTCAGAGGATTTTAACTTTGTTTTAAATCTGATTTTTGCTTAAGATGAGAGCTCTTTACACACATACACACACATGCGTATGTGTGTGTATGTATATATGTATGCATTTATATGTATATATTTTTAAATATAGGAGCCTTTCTAACTTTTAAAGATCCGTTGTCTGGTCATTGATAATTAGGATCCTCAATGGTGTATTTATTAAAATAATGATGATATGAAACCAGGTTCATTCTGCCTGTGCACAGCAAGCCAATCACTGTGAAGCTGTGATGACAGGTTTTGCGAAAGAGAAAGAATTTATTCACAAGGCAGCCAAGTGAGGAGGTGGGAGAACAGGTCTCAAATTTGCCTTCCAGAAGACAGAATTTAGAGATATTTATAGGATAAAGAAATGGTGTGGTCTAAAGTATGGGGTAAAATGATTGGCCGTGGGGAAAAGTGAGATATTTGGTGGCCTGCACACACATAGTTAGGGTTCATGGTTCTTCATAGGACACATGTTCAGAAAACGATGGCATAAGCATGATCAGAGGGAGGAGTTTTTAGCCCTCTGACATCAAAAGGTCACTTTTCAGGCATTTTCATAGGCCCATTTGAAGGGTCAGTGGTCTCAACCACCTGAATTGGACAAGAGCTGATTCCAAGTTCCCGAGAAACACTTTAAGTAACCATTAGCATGGTGATCTATATGTCAGAGATGTTATCTACAAGGAAACTAGTAGATTACTTAGCTACATGACTTTTACCATATAGCTTTTAAGATTAACTAGAAGTATGCGATTAAAAGCAAGCAAGACAGGTTAAGTTTGGTGGGCTTAAGCAGGTTAGCCATCCCTTTCAATGACTCAATCCAATACTCCTCTTCATGGAAAAACCATGAAGTAATTTTCCAGGCTTAGAATAAATTTTTACCATTGAAGCAAGAGATGTTACCAAAGAGGGCATGGAAGAAGTAGCCTCCATGTACCACAAATATTCACTTCCAGAAATAGACTAAGGAAACCAAAGGATCCTTGTTGCCACAGATAGTTAAAAACAGTGCTGTGCAGACAATCTCTCCATTGCTTCCCATGAGCACATGGACAAATGAACATATGGGGGTGCTGCCAGTCACAGACCTGCCAACCTGTGACACTGCACCGCACTTCTGAAATTGAGCTTTTCCAGCACTAACCAGGCAACAAAGGTTGAGATGATAAAAGCCTCTTATGGACGGGACTTATTAAGACAAACTCTTCTGAGAGCTTGGCATGTTGAAAACAGAGAGAGTGCTATTTAGTAATTTTATGTATTGCAAGGTTTCAGTGTTTTTATACTGGCCACCTGACATGACTTGAAAATCATGTCCACTGGCTGGTGGAGATCAAGAGAGGGTGCTTGTGCCTGGTCACAAAAGACAAATTTTCAGGACATAAAACAAGATGATACAGAAACCTCATTTGTTTTAGTTCAAGGAACTACAGCAGTTTGTTTTTAAAAATATCAGTTTGATGAGAACTGCAAACTCACCAGTCTATGAGGCTGGCTCAAACAACAAGCTTACAAAGGCTTAAGGGCCATGTTCTATCCTGCAGTTTTCCTACTGATGACAAATAAAGTGGGAAGACAAAGACCATTTCTGGTAGGAAAAAGATCAGATAATATGACTACTCACAGCAAAAATACCCCAGAGTTGCTATACCTAAGACTAGTCCTTACAAATGCTTTTCTCCTATTATTTTAAATTTTAAAAGGTAAAACAAACAGACAACCAGCAGTGATTCTTACTATCTGCTTGACTGGATTCCACAAATAAAGACCCGGGAGTCTGACTGATAAGAAACTTTTAGCCTTTTTGCCAGCTTCTCACATCCTGGTGAGACAGGAATAATACCGGGTGGTCAAAGGAGAATACAAGATTCCAGGCAGCAGTTTCACATGACTGAGGACTATGGGCTGATAGGACTCTGAAAAGCCAGGGTGTGGACCAAGCTGGCTAAGTAAGACCAGCTGGACTTAACATGGCACTGGATGTGACCAAAATGTCATCTAGGATCTCATTATATGCTCATTGACATAATAGATCGCACACCCACGAGTGCCATGACACCTTCAAGAACATTGGTGTAAAATGGGTGGCACCACAGTTCTGAGAAATCTCTATCTTTTTCCAGGAATTTTCATGAATATTCCACCCTTTGATTAAAGAAACCCATAAAGGTAGTGTTCCCAGACCAAACGGAGGGTCAGGCTGCTTATTCTGATGACCCAATAATGAGATGCAGATGAACTGGGAGAGAAGGGAGCTTTTATTTCTGTAACTGGTCGCAGGGAGAAGGCCTGGAAAAGGTAGCCAGACTAAAAATTACGAAGTTCTCCAGAGCTTATACACTTTCTAAGCTATGTTTACATGTAAGTGTGCATTTATCTAAAGACATAAGTGATGAACTTATTTTAATCTATAACTAAGATCTGAGTCCTGAAGGCCTTCCTCTGGAGCCTCAGTAAATGTATTTAATCTAAATGGGTCCAGGTGCTGGGTGATTACCCTTAGCTTGTCTCCTGCTAAATTATGGAAGTTTGGGGAATTCCTTCAGACCCCCAGTAAACTTGTTTGTGGAAGCCTGGGGAGTTTCTTCAGACTCCCAGTAAAACTTGTTTAATCCTAAACAGGTCCCATTGAGAATTTCTTTGTTATCTCATCATGCTTCAGGGCTCAGGAAAGGCCTAGGCAAAACTCTTGGTGGGCTTCTGTTACATTCCAGCCTTTGTAGAAGGGCACTGGCTCTATCAGCTTTTAATATTTAACTTAACCAGTCAGTCAGTGCTGGAACAGTTGTTACGGAGGCTGGCCTTAGTGAGACCTGTCCTGCCACAATAGTAGCCCCCAAACCCCCTTGCACGACTCGCTCTTGAGTACACCACTCTCTCCTCTCGAGTTCGCCTGCTTTCCCCTCTCTTGAGTGTGTACTTTGCCCTTTGCAATAAATCTCCATGCTTGCACTATTTTCTGACTCATCCTTGAATTCTTTCTCTTGATGGTGTCAGGAGCCTGGTTACTGGTTGGGGTTGAGATCCCACTGGAGTTCAAGTACCTTTCCCAGTCCACTGGTATCACTGGGTTCACTGGACTGTGGCTTCTGGAATATCTTGCTAACTATGCCAAATCTGTAGGGGAGAAGAGAAGGCTTCCCTGTCACCCTCTGAAGGTTTGCTGAAAATGAACTGACAATCAGCAGATTAACAGAAGAAAAAGGCGTACAAATTTATTTACTATCTATAAGCACAGGGGAATAACAGGAGAATCCTTACGCAATAACTTACTGAGGTCCAGATGCTTACATACCAGCCTTCAGAGGGGAAAAGGAAATGTGGCAATTTTTCGAGGTAGTAAATTATTTTCAGGAGAATTGAATGGAGGCAGAAGGCAGATATTGTCTTGTAAACAATGTCTTTGTAACCTGAATGAGCCCTAGATACAGACAATGTCTTGTGACAAAATCCATCCAGATGTGGTTACATTCCTCAGTCTTCTTTCTTCAACAGAAATGAAATTTCATCAGATGACAGCAGAAATCATTGGGAAAAAAAGATAATGAAATTTCAGAGAGGGGATGGAAGGCAATTGTATTCTCTTTGGCAGATCCAGTGTTAAAACAGATTAGGGAATATCAGAGTAAAATTTTATCCTGTGCTGGGTGGGTAGGAGATGGGAAAGACAGGAGAGGTTAGAAAATCCTTGATTCAGAGGCAGCTTCTAAGGCCTTCCTACTTTAGTTCAAAGTGTTCACCATGCTAAAGAGCCATACTTATGGAGTATCACTTGCTGAGCCCCAGCATTCTGTAACAATTGTAACTTTTCTGTTTCAAAGCCATTTTGTTACAAACACTGACATAATTTTATATAAATTTAAAATCACAAGTAATCACATTTTGGTCAACTATAAAGAAAGAATTCTCCAGGAATAATATAAGAATAACTAGACATATTTCTGATGCATTCTAATGTTAAATAGTATTTTCATAAAAACTCAAACCAAAGGCAACATAATGCAGTAGATTAATTTTCACATAGGAATGGGTAGGGCCTATTAGAAACCTAGGACAGTTTATTTACGATAGAGCCATCCTTCATGTACTGTTGAAACTTAGTGCCAAGCCTTAGAATAGAAATAAAGACAGAAAAACCCAAGTATATTAAAGGATTGTATGCGTACAGATAAATATATCTAATTTCTTGTTTTTCCCTTTCCATTTTCCATATATGATCTCTTGGTAGCAAAAAAAAAAAAATAAGACATAGAATGTTGATGATTTAATGAAAATCATTCCCCCTGTTAGTGGAGTTATTCAGGATCTCTCCAAATGCAAGTTCAGTAGCCTTATGTCCATATGAGAGCTATTACATGACTCTAGTTACGAGAACTGTTTGAAATTAGAGTGAATGGCTGAAATTCACCTATGAGGGCTGCCCTTGAGGATGCTACAGCTTTGACAGGTACAGAGACAAGGCCAAACTAAAATAGATATTATTTGTTTATTAATTTCACAATGGGTTGCAACAGAATGGGAGGGGGAAAACAATGATTGAACAGTCTGCAAATGAAGGCAATAGATTAAAAGTTAGGAGTGTGATATCCTTGCTGGGAAGGTATTCTGTTCTAAGAGAGCACTGGAGGTGAGGCAAAATGGGAAGACCTGAGATCAAATAAGGCCTGGGTGATGTGAAAGGAAAATAAATCTCAGTACCCCAGATTCCCTAAGCCAAAGGGAAAAGTCAAGCTGGGAACTGGGTCACCCAAACCTGCATCCAGTTTTGTTCCTAATAAAATAGCTACAAAGATAAAAAAGCTACATACTTCCCTCACAATTTGCTCACAAGGAAATTCCTTGTAGGCCCCCAAGATCTTTCCCCTAAAATTGTTCTGTTAAATTTCACTCTGACAATGTAAATTGACAACTTATCTTCATAGTTATGGGGCAGAGGACAGAACTAAGTCATTCCTCCACTCACCTGAGACAAATGCATATCTAACTGCTTCCTCTACCCTATATTTATTTTATCTTACATAAAAATGCAGATTCCCTGAGCAAGAGACAATTACATAAGTGACTATTCCTCTACTCTCTTTCACATGTAAAATGTGGATTCAGCAAAGACTGAGCAGACTCAAAGAAATGCAACCACTTGCCTCTTTTATCTACTCTCCTTTTTTTTCCCTCTTTCCCTTAATACCCACTTTTTTCCTTTAAATATTAAAGTACCAGAAAACACAGATGTTTTCTGTGGTCTGTGTTCCTGTTATCCTGTGCTCATCCTTAACCTTGGCAAATAAACCTCTAACATGACTGAGACTCGCTGCAGTAATTTTCTTTGATTTACATTGGTCAGATGCTCATTCCATCAACCTTTGTTAGATTCTGAATAGTCACTTTACAAGGGTCATAAGGACATAGGCTGTATTGCTACTGATGGGGTTCAGAAAATGTTTCTCCACATATGACTGTAAGAGACCAGTATATGCACCCCCAATTCACCTCTATGGCACCTCAGACACAGAAGCACCTCTGAAAGTTTATCCATTTATAAGAAAAATTTACATCTATAAAGAGATCTCCTTTTGTAAAAAGTGTTTCCCACTTTGTACCAGGAAGAGAAGACCAACTAAATCACTAGAGACTTTAGTTAAAAGAAGGGGTATATACTTAAATCTGCATAACAGACCTTATCCTTGTTTTACAGTTAAAGGGCCTGTCCCCACGCCCCTCTTTCTTTGATTTTGAGAATGATTATATTTAAGCCTGAAGTCTGAGGACAACTTTTTGAGATCTTTAGCGATCTCAAACTTTTTGTTTGAGTTGTCAAACTTTTTGACAACTTTAGAGGTTTACTGATTTCTCTGAGTTCTCTCTCATGTATACTGTCAGTCCTCTGAGCCCAAGCCTGCATGTATACATCCAGATGGCCTGAGGCAACTGAAGAACCACAAAAGAAGTGAAAATGGCTGGTTCCTGCCTTAACTGATGACATTACCTTGTGAAATTCCTTCTCCTGGACAATGATTCTCAGAAGCTCCCCATTGGAGCACCTTGTGACCCCCGCCCCTGGCTGCCAGAGAACAACCCCCTTTGACTGCAATTTTCCGCTACCTGCCCAAATCCTATAAAACTGTCTCACCCCTATCTCCCTTAGCTGACTCCTTTTTTGGACTCAGCCTGCCTGCACCCAGGTGAGTAAAAGCTTTATTGCTCACACAAAGCCTGTTTGGTGGTCTTTTCACGTGGATGCGTGTGACATATTCAGGAGCTGTACCTGTTATTAAACTTATGTTTGCTTTTCTGCTGTTAATCTGTCTTCTGTTGCAGGAGTCCTGATACCAGTGGAGAATTCAAATGGGATCCTTGGTCCTTGATTCTTCTTGGAAGAAAGAATTCAGCTAAGAGACAAAAGTAGATTTTAAAACAGATGTGAAAGTTTTTTGAACAAAGCAAAGTACACTTGGAAAGGACCAATGGGCAACTTGAAAGATCAGGGGCCCCACCTGATCTTTGACTCAGGGCTCTTACAGATTTACTATTTCCTGTTTTTTCCCTGGTCTCCTCCTCTCATCCTCCCCCTTGAGTGGGCTGCTGGCTAATCACCATATGCACAGTGACTTGCCAGTGTCTGGGAAGGGTCACATATGCTTTCTGGTGGTTGAAGTTACACACATGTTCTCTTAGGACAATTGTTCCTTACCAGTCTAGTGCTTCTAGAGGAGGGTCATATACCAGTCAAACCCCACCATTTTTTCCCTTACTGCACATACCTATACATGTTCATTTTTAAAAATTCTTATTGGGAATTTCTTGCCCACAGGCTCAAAACATTTCTCCCTGTCATCAGCCACAACCACTTATCATTCCTGAGGACACCACTGGACAATTGCCTGACAGTTACCTCATGGTTGCCTGACATTCTTTGGGGCCCTATCCTGCCCTGCTCATATCTTCCTATCTAAGTACTCTAACAGTCACAGCTAAAAATTCATAAAGGGTGGAGAAGAAACTCATTTTTCACCTCTACGGGACTGTCTGCAGAGTTCAGAGCAATTGAAGGTGTTGGTACTGGAAGTGACAGGCCAATTCACTTCCTTGCTCTCTCATCCTTGGCTTCTTATCATTAGGCTGGTGTCAGTAATACCCGCCCAGCCTCCATCATAAGGCAAGGACCTGCTGATGAGAGACAATCTCTACATTTTGTAGGGCAGGTTCACTTTATAAGAGAAGTAGTTATTTAAATAGCTGAAAGGACAATCTGAGCTTCATTTTCCCCACATATCACAACCATATTTGTTTTATCTGCTACCTTTCAAATGGATCAACACTGTTCCAATACCCAAAATACAGCAATACCCAACATACAGCATTTTAATATGCTAAACCAAAGAAGCCTCAAGGTCTCTCTGACCTCCCCCTAAACTATCTCTCCCATAGAGGTTGAGTTCCTTTATCTGCCTAAGATCCAGACCTAGCAAAGAAAACAATTATTTTTTCTTGCCCTCCTTATTTCATTATTTACTGCAGAAAAGAAGACCAAGAATATAACCATATCTGAACAGAGTTCTTTACATGTATAATGACTTTCTCCAAGGGTCATTTAAATTCCAAAGAGAACAATTTACAAGTTAATCTCTGTTCCCTGATCCAATCAGTCTCCCTAGTAATCATTTATTGCTCCTCAATAGAATTCCTCTCCTCCCCCATCTCATATTTTCTTCTACCAGAATCCAAGCCCCATTCTTTCTGTAACCTCAAGGTGGTTACAAGCTTCTGTACCTCATTGGGATGTTGGGTCTTCATTCTAAGGGTTCCTGGGTACACACATTAAATAAATTTGTATGCTTTTTCTCCTATTAATCAATCTGCCTTATGTCAGAGATTTCCAGTGAACCTCCATGGGGCACAACAGCAAACACTTCAGGTTGAAAAGATAAAAACTTCTCTTGAAGAAAAAAGAAAACTGAAGCAAATGGGAAATTCGTTTAGGCTTATAGAACATGAGCAACCTGAAAACTGCATGTGGGTGTTATTTTGGGACAAAAGTTTACAAACATTCTCTTTGTGAACACAGTTGTCAAGAGCATTCCTTTGAGCAGGAATCAAGGTGGAGAGAGAAAAATATTAGTGTCTTGGTCATAGCCCATGCTAGTGATTATTTAGCCTTATATTCTATGTGCTTCATTTTTTTTTTTCTGTTCTCATTCCTTTGTCTTAATCATGCTTTTCTTTTTTCTTGAGATGTAGGAAGCCAGATGATGAGGATGGAGTTTAATTTTCTGGGTCAGTGGAACTGCTGGCTTAGCATGTCTTCTGTGTGTCTTCCTCATTTTCTATCTTCCTGGTATAGGGACTGGAGGAGTTCATCCTACTGGAGGCTGCATTGTTGGAAAGCTCTCAGTGGCTCCATTTGTTACCAGGAGGCTGTTAGAGATCAGCCACTGCCGTAAAAATAACAGACAGAAAGCATTTGTGATGTCCTCTGACAGCTGCTGAGTGGTTGCCTCAGGCAGCGGGGCTGTGGCTGTGCATTTCTCCAAAGTTGGACTGCACAAGCATCTGATTTGAGGTAACTAGGGAGGGGGCAGAATCCTTTCTCAAGTGCAGGCACAATTAAGTTTCCACACACCAACTACCCACGTCTCGCAGGTAAAAATTTCAGTTGTGATAATGAGGATATGTGATGATGCGATTATCCTAATGTGAAAAGTTCAATGCAGAAATGCCAAGTGCCTTGACGATTGGGCTCACCTGTGTTTATGACAGTGTTGATAAACTGAGTCAGGAAGTTCTGTTTATTTATTGTTTTCAGAGAAGCTTATCAGTCCTCTGCTTCACAAATCTCTGAGGAGTAAAGGTGGCTTAAGAACAGAAATGAAAAATTAGAAAACAGTAAAATAGGCCACATGGACTTTGAAATAGGAAGAGCTTTATGTTGGAGGACAAAGCTGTTAGAGGAAATCGCAAATTAATTAATCTGAAGTGTCAAATGCTGAATTTATTCCAACTCCTAGGTGTAGGAATTGAGAAACCTAGTGTAATAAATTGCAGTTAGTCCTTAAATAAAATGAAGGATTATTTGTGATATGGGGGAGAGTGAAATTTAGATTTTATGTAATGAAAAAAAAGATTCTAGTCCTATTCTCATTAGAAAAGCAAGTGGGTTGAATTCTGATTGTGGATGGTAAGGATTTAGTTTCTGCTTTTTCAGCTGCTTGTATACAGATGGATAGCATATTTCATGAGATAGTGGGAGTTACAGCTTTCTCCCAGGTGCAGGTGGTGTGATTTTTTTTTTTCGAAGTTAATTAAATATCTATAGCTGGAAGCATTGATGGTGTTTACATGTTCATGCACCTTATAGTTGACCTGGACCAAATATTGTTTATAATAATAGGTAAAGAAAAGGAGGTTTATCTTCAATAAACATTAAGTTAAATCTAGCCTATTAAAAGTCTTTAATAGATATGTTTCATTAAACCGTGTGAAATCATGAATAAAGTGGAAAGGACTGTGGTAGAATTTTTGAAACTGCCTTTGCAAAATTATGACAGTAAGAGAAATCTGACATAGTTGATTCCATTTTGCTTCTAGCCTCCAAGTTGTCCTTGGTCATTCCCAGGGGTAGGCCAAGCTAACTTTGGGAGAAATTTAGTTTATAGTTTAACTTGAAAGCAAGGATGATATTAGGGTTTTTTGTTTTTTGTTTTGAGATGGAATCTTGCTCTGTCACCCAGGCTGGAGTGCGGTGGTGTGATCGCAGCTCACTGCAAAATCTGCCTTCCTGGTTCAAGTGATTCTCCTGCCTCAACCTCCCGAGTAGCTGGAATCACAGGCATCTTCCACAATGCCTGGCTAATTTTTTTAATTTTTAGTAGAGACAGGGTTTCATCATGTTGGCCAGGCTGGTCTCAAACTCATGACCTCAAGTGATCTGCCTGCCTTGGCCTCCTAAAGTGCTGGAATTATAGGTGTGAGCCACCCTGACCAGCCATGGATGATAATAGTTATTCCCAAAACCACCTTTGTAAAACTAAAGAAAGGCCACAAGGTTAGAATTATGAGAGGGATCAGCCATTGTTCTGGAGGCCACAGGATTTGTAACATCACTCACAATTACTCCTGTAGATAACATCAGTATTATAGAACCTAAGATTGACCTTTTGAGATGTCTTTTCAGACTTTTGCATTTCTGAGACTAGCTAGCTCCACCTGGACTCCTGATTCATGATTCAGCTGGTCCTGTGGCCCCACCCAGAGGCCGACCTGGCACCTGTGGACCATTTTCCATACCCCTATGATGGCATCCCCAGCCAATCAGCAGCAACCATTTTCTAGTCCCCTCTGCCTACCAAACTATTCTTGAAAACTCTAACCTCGAAGCCTTCAGGGAAATTGATTTGTAATAACTCCATCTCCTACATGGCTGGCCTCTCATCAATTAAACTCCTTCTTTACTGCAATGCTGCGGTCTCAGTGAATTGATTTTGTATGTGCAGGGAGCAGGACAAACCTGTCAGGTAATTCCATTTTGAATGCTTCATTGGTTTTTGTTGAGGAACAGAGGGTGACTGGAAATGTGTAAGGGTATTTTGCTGTTTTGTTTGCTTGTTTGTTTTGGTTATTTTTGTTGTTGTTTTTTGAGACAGAGTCTTGCTCTGTTGCCCAGGCTGGTGTGCAATGGTGTGATCTTGGCTCACTGCAACCTCTGCCTCCCAGGTTCAAGCGATTCTCCTGCCTCAGCCTCCTGAGTAGCTAGGATTACAGGCACATGCCACCACACCTAGGTAATTTTTGTATTTTTAGTAGAGACGGGGTTTCACCATGTTGGCCAGGCTGGTCTCGACTTCCAACCTCAAGTGATTTGCGTTCCTTGGCCTCTCAAAGTGCTGGGACTACAGGTGTGAGCCATCAGGAACAGCCTTTTGCTGTTCTTTCTTTGTCTGTTTCGGAATGTTACAATGACTGATTTGTTATTGGCATTTAATGGGCAGCTTTTAGAGAATAAGCCTTCTATATGTTCAGGACAGCCCTACATAATGAATTTTACCACCTCAGTGTCAATAGTGCTCCACTGAGAAATACTGGGCAATTTAAGAAAAGTTCACAAGCCAAAGAAGTTCCTGAAATGCTCTTTTTGATCAGATCATAATAGATTATGGCCCAAAGACCCAAATGGAAAATTATTGGATTGAAAAGGTAAAACAGCTTTTTCATGTAGGGCTTTAAGAGCCCATGTTGAGGGAAAGGAAGAACATCTAATGAATATCCACTGGACATATGTTGGGTGCCTTCTTCACATTGGATAGTTTTACCTTTTCAACAATTTTGTGAGCAAGGGGAGTTTACCCATTTTTACAGACAAGAAAACTGAATCCAGAAAAGAGAATAACTTGCCCAAAAGCACAGAACTAGTAAGTAGCACATCCCAAGGTGATGAGAAAACATGGCCTAAGGGCAGAGTTCTAGGCACTTTCCACCCCTTTTCACCCAGGGAAGCTCACTTAACATACTACATGTCTAAGTCAGTTTCATTTAAAGAAGTAAAAAGGGAACGCCAAAGCTAAAAGCTTACTGGACCATGTTGTCTTGACTATGTGAACTAGCTTTGAAGTAGGGTTGTTTTTCCAATGGGAAAGTTATCAAAGCATTTTGACAATTTATACCCCCATGAGGGGAATCTTGTTACCATGAAATTATTCTTTGTGATTCTGTTTTCACAATAAGCCAAGGTCTTTTTAATTCTCCTTTTTTGTTAGTTTGTTAATGTTGGTCAACACCAAACACTAAGAGAACACTGTAGTTTTTATTCCAATCCTATAAACATAGTTACTGAAGAATTAGAAATGATTAGCCTCACAGCCATCAGAAAATGCACTTTTAAACAGTGAGAACTGATTCTGAAAGCCAGAAACTCTTATGAACAGCCCTTTACTATAATTGGCTTTTGTGCAACAAATGGAATATGTTCCTCAGGGGTTTGTAGAGAAATGAAATAAATTGAATATAAACTAGATTACCATTCCTTGAAGTACTATTAAGCACTTTGTGTAGTCTAGTATTTCAGAGATATTTTCCAACATCATGGCCTTTCCCATGCCTCATTCGTGTGTTGTTTTTCTTATTAAAATAAGGTAAACAGATCATCGAAGAACATCAGAGAGCCCTAACTTAAGTATTCACATTACTGATTCAACTTTACACTAAATGTAACATTACATTTGCTTCTTTAGCTGATGGATGTAAGCCATTAGTTTATATTAATGTAACTTTCAGAATGACTCTTTAATCTTACAGTTTTAAGGCATTCTAATCCATTTTTACCATATACATCATCAATAATGTTTGCATGGGTATTACTCTTTCTTATGAACAATTTATATGTACAATCTGATGATTCATAGTACCATTATTAATGACCAGGCATTCAATTGTCTTATTAACAAAAACAAAATATCACAGATGTACCAAAAAAAGAAAAAGTAGAGGATCAGGGAAGGAGACAGAAGATATAAAGGAAGGGGATATAGAAAGAGCATGTCACTCAAGTGATTTTGTAATTTTTTGTGTTATTTCAAGTGAAGTGTGTACTTTGTTATACCAATAAATATGTCCTCTGACTTGAACTTGACAGTGGTGGTCAGAGAAATTTATCTCAACACTTACCCCATTTACTCCTCAACGCCCACTCATGACAGGCATCCTTCCTGACAGGTACACCTTTACACTTCTCCCTCATAACCAGGAAAGCACTTAAGTGAGATTATACAGCACACTTTATTTTTCAACTTGGTCTGCTTTCTTGTGAAAATTTCTCTTCATATCAGTATAGGTAATTCATTTTCATCCTTTTACATTACTGTATGATATCCCTCAGGCTGTACCTGATTTTATAGAGATATTCTCTTTCCAATAAAAATTTGAGTGATTTCAGTTCTTCACAATTAAAATAATTCCACAATAGGTATCCTAGTAAATATATCTTTGTGTACATGTCAAAATTAATGAAGGATCTAATTTTTGGAAATAAGTCCCATGCCGCACTCCAGACCTTCTCTTTCAAAATCTACATCTTAACAAGAAATCCCAGTGACTCAGATTAAAGTTTAAGTAGCAATTGTCATAAAAAATTATATGTATAATTAAATACCAATATTTACTTTCAACATGAATATTATCAATCACTTTTTAATTTTGTTCAGGCTGATATTGTCTTATTTTAATGTTCACTTACTTGATTGCAAATAGGTTGAGCATCTTTCTTCATATTTGTTAGCAATTTGTTTTACTCCTTGAATAGAAGATTCATTTACTTTTCTTTTTATTTCTATTTGTTTTGTCTTTACATTTTTCTTTATGGTATAGAAATTCTGGATCGTGTCTAACAGGTTATACATATTTTTTTCCAGCTGACTGCTTAATTTTATTAATTTTGTTGAAATATCTTTTTTTCTGAAAAATTTTGAAATTAAAATTTCAAGCACAATTAATTTATCAGACTTTTTTTATGGTTTCTGGATTTTGTTTCTCAATTCAGATGGCCCATTGTGTCACAGTAATTATAAGTTTGGGTTTATTATACAACTATTTTTAATATTTCTGAAAGTTAGTTTTTTTAATTTTGTGAATTATCCCACTATATTTTTTCCAAATGTTTATCCAGTTGTTCCCAAGCATTTATTGAAAAATCTGTTCACTTATCTACGGAAAAATCCTCCTCTGTCTTGTACTGAATCCTCTTATATGGGTCTATTTCTGTATTCTGCTTCTGTTCCACTGATCAATTGCCCTTTTTATATTTTTATAATCATGTAGTAAGTTTTGATATATAATATGGAAAATCTCTATATATGTTTAATTTTTGTTTCATGGCAAAATTAAAACATTATTTACTTTCAGATAGACTTTTTAATTAGTCTAGTTTTATCAAATAATATTTTTGAAAGATTGGAATGATAATGAATATAACAATAAATTTAGAGGGATGAATTATATTCTTTTTTAATCTACATAAATATATAATAGCATTGGTTTTATTAAATCCATGCACATATCAATTTTAGTTACTATAAATGTAAAATGATAAACATAAAAATGTAAATGAATAAATAAAATCACTATGCTCTTCTTATTTAAATGTAAACTTTGTTAATATCTGCTTTTTTCTTAGAATATTGTTTTTTAAAGATGTCTATAATTTTATTTATAAATTTATGTATGATATGTTTTGGAAGCAGAGGAAAGTGTAGATAAAATTAAATATTATGTCATGCAGTACACCTCCCAGTGACTTCCAATTTTAACACTTAAAAAATATATATACACACACATATATATACATATATATATAATTACATATATACACACAAAAAACATATATATACATTCATAACCTCTAGAAATACATAAAATGAACTTCTAAAATACATAACATGAGGATAATTCATCCAATGCACAATTGCAAAGGATATGCTTATTGAAGTTCTAAAGGAAGAAACACATATTCCTAATAAAAATTTGAAAATTTATTTTATGTACTCTTGTTCAGATAATAACAAATAAAAACCAAATGGAGCTGCCAGCATTCTTTATGTTTTTTTTCTTTAGGCAGGAGCAAAGCTTATTTACTTTCATATATTTATACAATCATTATGTTGAAATGAAATATATATAAAAATAGTGCAGACCATAAGTATACAGCTTTTAATAATTATAAAGTGGACACACATGTAACTAGCCCCTAATTCAAAAAGTAGCACTCTAGAAGTCTTCTTGATAGCTGTCTTTCAGTCACAACCTTCCCTAAATTCTTTGCCAGTATTTATATTACCTTATTTGCCTTTTTTTCTCCTAGTATAGAAATTTTAAAAATAAATCATGGATATAATCCCTTTGTACTTTAAATGTGTACATCCACTTTGTAACTTGCCTTTTCATTCCCTTAATGATGTTTTTGCCAAAGTAACATTTTTGAATTTTTAAAGTAATTTTTAAGTAATAAAGTTCTTCTATTTTTTCTTAAAAGTATTATTAGATTACCTTTTATGCTTAGTTCTACAATCCAACTACAGTTTATTTGTACTTGTGGTGTAAAGTAGGGATAAAGAATTTTTTTTCTTTCTCATAAGAATGGCCAATTAACCAAACACCAGGTTTTGAAAACTGCAGCCTTGCCTCATTACAGCTAAGTTTCAGGTAACAATAGCTGAATTCTATTCTGCTCCATTGGCCTATTTGTCTTTTCTTGTCCATTTTCATGCTGTCTTTGTCACTATAGGTTTATAAGTATCTTGATATTAGTAGTAATGTACATTCTCTGAACTTCTTCTTTCAATTTGATTATTTAAACTATTTTAGAACCTTACAGATTTAAAAATCAATTGTCAATTTTGACTTTAAAAATCTGCTAAGATTTTATTCTAATTATGTTGGATTTATAAATAAAGTTGAGGAGAATTGAGACCTTTACAGTATTCGACTTTCCTACTATAAAAATGGTATATTTCTGAAGATGGCATGAGCAACATGGCAGAACAGAAGCCTCCTGACATCTACACATGGATCAGTTATCTCCAAGAGAAAGCCAGAGTGTAGTTGAAAGACTCCTACAAACTAAATGACTGAGAACATATCCACATCAAAACGGGTGGGAAAGACTGGGATTCATTCATGTACTAATGCCACACTGAGCACAGAGCCTTTCAATCAGGGAAGAATTCCCAGCTCTTTCAGCCAGAGAGAGAAGACTAGAAAAAATAACTAATCCTTTGGTGCAAAGACATAGATGCACATCCATAAGAAAAAAATAGTAAACAGGCAACCATGATCTCCCCAAACAAAACAAGAAACCAATAACTGACCCGAACAAGACAATATGTGAGTGCTCTAATCAACAATTCAAAATAGTAATTTTAAGGAAACTCAATGATCTTCAAGATAACACAGAAAAGCAATTCAGAAATTTATCATGGAAGTTTAGCAAAGAGATGGAGATAATAAACAAAATCAAACAGACATCTTAGAACTCAGAAATACATTTGCTGAAGTGAAAAATTCATTAGTGCCTCTCAAGAAGAGTATGAATCAACCAGAGAAAAGAATCACTGACCTCAAGGACAGTCTAATTGAAAATACACAGAGGAGCAAAAAAAGAAATCAAAAGCAAGAAAATTGTTTATGAGATACCAAAAATTACCTCAAAAGACCAAATCTAAGAATTACTCATGTTCAAGAGGGAGTTGAGCAAGGGCAGGGAACAGAGAGTTATTCAAATGAATAATAACGGATAATGTCTCAAAAACTGGGAAAGATATAAATGTCCAGTACAGGAAGATCAGAGAACACATGACAAATTTTATCCAAATAGGACAACATCGAGACATATAATAATCAAACCTTGTAGGTCAAAGATAAAGAGAGAATCATAAAAGCAGCAAGATAAAATAAGCAAATATCATAAGACTTCTCAATGGAAAGCACACAGGAGGGAGTAGAATAACATTTTCAAAATACTTAAAGGAAAAACAAAACAAAACCCCCAAATACCTGTCATTCAAGAATACTGTATCCAGGAAAGTTACTCTTCTAATATGAAGGAGAGATAAAGTATTTCCCAGAAAAACAAAGGCTGATACCACCAGATTGGTGTAACTAGAAATGCTAAAGGGAGTTCTTCAATCTGAAAGAAGAAAACACTCATGTGCAAAACCAAAAAAAATTGAAGGTATAAAATCCACTGGTAAATTAAGTATATGGACAAACCCAGAGTACCCTAATACTATAATTGTGATGTGCAATTCACTCATAGACTTAGTATAAAACACAAAACACAAATCTATCAAAAACAGTAACAGCTACAACAACCTGTTAAGAGATAGGTAACATAAAATATGGAAAGGAAATACTTAAAAGTCAAAATGTTGGAGGGATGGAGTTAAAGTACAGAAGTTTTCTTCTTTTGTTTGTTTCTATTCTTTTCTTTGTGACCTAAGAGAAGTTTTCATCTCTTTAAAATAACATTATATATTAATATGTTTCTTGTAAGCTTCATAGTAACCACAATACCAAAACCTGTAATAGGCTCACTGGCAACAAACAGCAATTAATTAAAACATACTACCAGATAAAATCACTTACCAACAAAGGAAGACAGTAAGAAAGGAATAAAGAAAAAGAGGAGTTGCAAAACAAACAGAAACCAGCAACGAAATGGCAGCAGTAGACCCTTACTTATTAATAACAAAACTGAATGTAAATAGCCTTCAATTAAAAGGAATAGAATACCTGAATGGATAATGAAACAAGAACTAACTATATGCTGCCTGTAAGAAATCTATGTCACTCATATAGACTGAAAGTGAAGGGGTGAAAAATGATATTCCTTGCAATTATAAACCCAAAATGATGAGGAGTAGCTATATTTATATTAGATAAAATAAACTACAAATCAAACACTTAAAGGAGTCAAAGGTCACTATGTAATGTTAAAGGAGTCAATTCGAAAGAGGATTAATAATGATAAATTTCTATGTTTTAATATCTAATAGCAGAGCTCCAAATTACATAAAGTAAACATTAATAGATTTAAAGAGAGAGAGAGCACATTATAATAATAGTAGGGGACTTTAACACCCACTCCTAGTAATTGAATCATCCAGACAGAAAATCAACAGAGAAACATAGCAGTTAAACTACACATTAGATGTAAGAGGCCTAATTGATAGTTATAGAATATTTTTCCAAACGGCTTCAGAGTACATGTTCTCTTCATCAACACATGGAACATTCTCCAGAACAAACCATATCTTAGGCCAAAATCATGTCTGACCAAATTTAAAAATTAAAATCATATCAAGTGCCTTTTCTGAACATAATAAAATAAAACTAGAAATTAATAACTGGAACCTCAGAAAAACCCATAAACACATGGAAATTAAACAATATGTTCCCAAACAACCAATGAGTCAATGAAAAAATTAAAAAGAAAATTAAAAATGGAAATACAACATACCAAAATCTGTGGGATATAGCAAAAGCAGCACTAAGAGGGACATTTATAGTAATAAACAATTATAACAAAAAAGAAGATTTCAAATAAACTAGGTAATGATACACCTGAAGAAAGTAGAAAAGCAAGAAGAAACCAAACCTAAGATTATTACAAGGAAAGATATAGTAGAGATCACAGCTGACATAAATGAAATTGAAACTAAAAATAGTACAAAAGAACAGTGAAATGAAAAGTCAGTTTTTTGGAAAAGATAAACAAAATTGACTAACCTTTGACTAGATTAAGGAAAAAAGAGAGAGGGCCCAAGTAGATAACATCAGAAATATAAAAGGAGACATAACTGAGGCCACAGAAATACAAAGAACAATTAGAGACTATTATAAACAACTTTGCATCAACAAATTGGAAATTCTAGAAGAAATTAATAAATTTGTAGACACACACAACTTACCAAGACTGAACCATGAAAAAATAGAAAACTTCAATATACTGATAGCGAAGTTAGAGATCAAAGAAAAGATGAGGACCTGACTGTTTCACTCCTGAATTCTAACAAACATGTAAGAAGAATGAATACCAATTTTACTCAAACTATTCAGATAAATTGCAGAGAAGAAGATACTTTCAAACTCACTTTATGAAGCCAGCACTATCCTGATACTAAAGCCAGATGAGGACACCACAAAAAAATGAAAACTACAGGCCAGTATTACAGATGAACATACACACAAAAATCCTCAAGAAAATACAAGCATATCAAATTCAATAACACACTAAAAATATTATGTACCATGATTAAGTGGGATTCATTTCCCAGGGATGCAAGAATAATTTGACATATAAAAGCCAATAAATGTGACATATTACATTAACAGAACCAAGAACAAAAACTATAAGATTATTTCAGGAGATGCTGAAAAAGAATTTGATAAAATTTAATATCCCTTTATGATAAAAATCCTATAAAACAGGGTGTAGAATAAAGACATCTCAAAATAAGGCAGGTTATATATGACAAACCCATAGCTAATACCATACTGAATGGGAAAAAATTGAACACCATTTTTTCTAAGACCTGGAAGAAGACAAGAATGTCCACTTCCACCTCTTGTATTCAATATAGTACTGGGAGTCTTGGCCAGAGCAATAAAGCAAGGGGAAAGAATAAAGGGCATCCATATTGGACAGGAAGAAATCAAGGATCAGATGGCATGATGTTGTACTTAGACAATCCTAAACACTCTACCAAAAAGCTGTTAGAAATAATGACAAATTTATTAACGTTCTATAATACTAAATCAACATACAAAAATTAGTAGCATTTATATATGCCAACAGTGAACCATCTGAAAAAGAAATCAAGAAAACAATCCCATTTGCAATTGTTACAGACAATATAAAATATCCAGGAATCAATTTAATGAAAGAAGTTAAAGACCTATACAAGAAAAACTATAAAACATGGATAAAAATAATTGAAGAGGATGTAAAAAATAAAAAGGTACTCCATCCTCATGAATTGGAATAATCGATACTGTGAAAATAGCAATACAACTCAAAAAGATTCTACAGAGACAATGCAATTCTCCTCAAAATACTAATTACATGCTTAGCAGAAATAGAAAAAAAAGTTAACATTTATATGGGACCACAAAAGACCCTGAATAATCTATGCAATCCTGAGCAAAAAGGACAAACTTGAGGCATCACACTACCTGACTTCAAAATTTATTACAAAGCTATAGTAACCAAATTAACCTGGTACTGTCATAAAAACAGATTCATAGAATAATAGAACAGAATAGAGAATCCAGATATAAATCCATAAATTTACAGCCAACTAATCTTTGATAAAGGTGCCAGGAACATGCAATAGGGGAAAGAATGGTCTTCAATAAATGGTGCTAGTAAAACTGGATAACTGTATGTAAAAGAATAAAACTAACCCCTCCTCTCTTTTTCACCATACACAAATATTAAATCCAAATGGATTAAAGATTTAAACCTAAGATCGGAACGATGAAACTACTAGAAGGAAAAAAAATGAGGAAATGCTCTAGGACATTGGATTGGGCAGAGATTTTTTGTTTAAGACCTCCAAAGCAAAAATAAATAAATAGGATTACATCAAGCTAAAAAACTGCATAGCAAAGGAAATAACCGAAAACGTGAAGAGACAACCCACAACATGGGAGGAAATATTTATAAATTGCCCATCTGACAAGGGATTAATAACCAGAATATAAAAGGAGCTCAAACAACACAATAGCAAATTTAATGATGTTATATATTGACCTTTCAACTTTCTGTTTCTATGAGATCTAAATTCTATTTAGATTCCACATATCAGTGATATTAAACAATATTTGTCTTTCTGTGCCGGGGTTATTTCACTTAGTATAATGTCAATTTCATAGAAACAGAAAGTGGGAAGTTTCTTGGTACAGAAAGGGATGGGGAAAGTGTAGATGCTAATCAAAGGGTTCAAATTTTCAGTTAGAATGGAAGAATAAGTTTAAGTAAGTTATTGTATTGCATGGTGACCACAGTTAATAATAGTGTATTTTATATTTCAAATTTACTAAAAGCAGATTTTTAATGTTCTCACCAGAAAAAAAATAAGTTGATGAGGTGATGAATAAATTAATTATCTTGATTTAATGTTTCTAAAATGTTAGGTCAAAACATTACACTGTGCCCCATAAATACATGCAATTATTATATGTCACTTGAAAAGATTTTTAAGAGGGGATACTTCTCCATTTATTTAGTTCTTAAACTATTGTCAATGATTTTTATATATTTTCATAGTGATATCTGACACAACTTGGTTAGATTTAATTCTAGATATTTATTTTCTTCTAAAATGCTTTTTAAAAATATAAACTTTTGAATTTTATTTCTAGTATAGAGAACACACTTCATATTTTTGTATTGATATAGAATTCATTTATTAATTCTATTAGTTTTTCTAAATATTTAAAGATTTATGATAAAATTATGCCATTTGCTAGAAAAAATAGACTTATTTTTTTCTTTCATGTTCTAATGCCTCTAATTTATTTATCTCACTGGCTGCACCACTCACGATCTCCAGTAGAGTGTTAAACAGATAGAGTTGAGCAAATAACCTTTTCTAATTTCTAATACCAAGGAAACTTCTAATAATGGAAAATTTAAAAAACTTTTTAAATTTTAAAGCTGCAATATTCACTGCAGGTGATGATATAGATAAAAAAGAACAATCTGATACAGATGGGAGTGAAAACTGGTTTAGATATAAATATTGTAGCGCATCTCAAAATTTACAAGTGTAATTTCAGACTTAATGTACACATATAGGCACTGCATAAATACTGATAATAAGCATGAATGGCAAGAGTTATTAAAAGAAGCATGTTCATATACTAAATAACATATAATTATTTAAATGAATGAAGTAGATTCGTAACTACTACATGGATGATCTTAATATATATTGACATTTATTTTTAAAAGAGAGAATTTGAAAATTGTTTCTGTCAAAAATGAGTAACACAAATTTTTTTGAATTTACTCTCTCTCTTTCTCACCCCCACCCTATTATATACAGAGTGAAAAGTTGGGGGTTACCCCCTTGGAAACTGGAAAAGTAAGAAATCACTTTTATTGTGTATACTCTAGCATAATTTAAGTGCTTTCCCAATAAACTTGAAGTAAACTTTGAAATATGGTAAGAAACTTTAAAAATCTGCACATCTGGACAGATAGGTTAAAATGTATTTACCTTCTAATTGTTAAATGTAGTTCTTCTGAGGTAAATCCTAAATACACCAGGAGGTGAAGATAATAGTTTTTCCTTAATTCATATCCATTTATCTAAATTTAGTGAAAAATTTTCCAGATTTTGACATGAGTAGTCTTAGCATTTCTCAGTTTGCTTTGATCCTTCATAATCTTTATTAACTTATTCAATGTTTTAAAGGCAAGTTGGAAAACATAATCCTTGTTTCTTTAGCCAGAAACAATTTCATACAGATTTCCTTAATACTGCATATATTGTCCAAGTATTTGTTTCAAATTTTGAAGAAGACTTTCAAATGTAAATGAAAGTTCAATCGTGTCTTACCACCAATATAATAATTAAGGCATAATGATATAATATTAAGGCATAATGATAAACTATAAATGATTAGCAAAGTACCTGCAACCAAGAGCCAATCCCCAGGCTTGTGTTTTGAAGCCTGTATTGGAGAATGTGTAGGCAGTGGGTGTATATTAACTTCACAACTTTACTTGTGTTGATTATAGCTTACAAACATTAGTATCTACCTGGAAAAGTATGGCTGAGCATATATATATATATATATATATATATATACACACACACACACACACACATATGCACAGCCATATATATATATATGCAACTTTCTTCTGTTGCTAATTTTGTAGCCACCAAAGTTTTGACAGGGTGGCTCTATACAAGAAACTCAGGTACCATTCTCTCTCTATGATTGTTATTGCTTATATTCATCTTTTACATGCAGATCAATCTGCTTATTGATCTTAGAATTTCTATGTAACATTTTCTCAATTTTAGTTGGTAAATAATATACTCATATTTCTAAATTTGATCCTTAGGCTTGGAAACCTAGCATCTTCATTTTCATTGTGTAACTTTCTACTTGCTTGCATAGCAGGCTGATAATTTGTGGGAAAATGTCAGGAAAGCTCTCTTCCTAATTCACATTAAAGTACCCATAAATATTTCCAAGAATAGAAACATCTACAGAAGGAAGTTTAGTGGATAAAAATTACTGAGATTATGCCTGATTTTGGACTTTACAGAGTTAAAAGTGAAGATAAGATACTGTGAACCACTGTGCATTCACACTAGGGGCTTTGATATAGTGCAGTAAATAGGCAGACTTTCCAAATTATATTTAATATAAAATTATTTAACAAATCATGAATATAGCATAAACAGTCTACATATCTGTCTAGAAGTAACTCTTTATTATATCCATACATATTTCTTTGGGGAAAGGACCAAAGGCCACAGAACAACAGCTATTAGGTTCAATTATCTGAAGCTGCCTAAGCCAGAAACTCAACCTTCAAGCAGTTGGAGAGCAGAGGGTAATCTGTCCTCCTGAAATGAAGCCATGAAGGCTTTTCATGGTGCAGAAGATATCCCCCTGTGATTGTTTTTTCCTCAGAAGTGTTACATCCACATCTTGTTGTGATTAGTTGTATAGAAACTGAAGAATTCTGTTATGTTTATCATATTGTGATATGTTGGCCCTTCTACCCCCACCTGACTGTACATAATATGCCAATTAAACAACTCATAAATGTTGACAGTGATAACATGGTGTTAATAGTGTTCTATGGCTATAACAGGGCCTTAATTCAAATGCCCACATTTTATATTTCCACATGGATGGGGATAAAGTGTAAACATTGTAGTAAAAGTATTAAAAAGTAGGAGGAGGATGTAGTTAGATGCAAAATATGTCAATGTCAAATCCTATCCTTGCCCTTTGTCAGGTCTTTCACTTTGGTATCAATTTGACCCACATTTTAAAATCTGTGAAATGAAGATAATATTCTTCTTTCCCAAAGGATTATATTTGTTAAAAATGTGTTTATCTTCGCTGGCGTTCACATAGTAGCTGTTAAACGAATGCTATTTTGTATCCTAAGTTGATTCCAAGTTACAAACAAAAATGGTATTACTGGATCTTATTTCTGCACTATCATTAATCATTTTGAAGCAAACCTAGAGTTAATAATTAATGAGTCTATGGAGGTAGAATAGAGAAATCCTAAAATTCCTCCAAATTCAACATTATAGTTCAAAGGAACGCCACATCACCTGAGGTTCTCAACCTATGTTGTTTCTGAAATTTATAAATGTTGGCTTATGTTTTGTTCTCAATAGAGATAGAATTAGCATACCAAGACATTCACTATAAAGTATACAATTCAGTGGTTTTTAGTATATTCACAAAATTATGAAACTATCCCAACTATCTAAATCTAAACATTTTCATTAACCCAGAAATAATCCCCATACCCATTAGCAGCCATTTCCAGCACCTGGCAACTACTAACCTACTTTTTGTCTCTATCGATTTGCTTATTCTGGACATTTCAGATAACTGGAATATGATATGTGGTTTTCAGAGATTAGATTTTCTCTTAGCATGTTTTCAAGATTAATCTATGTTATAGCATGTATCAATATATAATTCCTTTTTATGGCTGAAAAATATTCCATTGCATGGGCATACCCCATTTGTTTATCTAGTCTTCAGTTGGTGGACATTTGAGTTGCTTTCAAGTTTTGACTGTTAAGAGTAATACTGCTATTAACATTCATATACAAATTTTTGAATAGATGTATATATTCAACTCTCTTGAATATATATTTAAGGCTGAATTTGCTGATTCTTATGGTAACTCTATCTTTAACTTTTTGAAAAACTGGCAAAGTAGTTTTCATAATGCCATTTTATTTTAGGTTTCCACTATCAGCGAGGGTTTCAGTTTCTCCACTTCTTTCCCAATACATGATGCTATCTTTTTTTATAACTATTATAATTGTGTATAGTTGTATTTCAGGCAGTTTTGAGTTGTATTTTCCTAGTAACTAATAATGTTGAGCATCTGTCCATGTGATTATTGGCCTTTTGTACATCTTCTTTGGAAAAAATCTCTATTCAAGCTCTTTGCCCACTTTTAATTGGATTTATCTTGTTATTGAGTTGTAAGAGTCCTTATATATTCTAGACTCTAGACTTCTATTGGATATATGATCAGCAAATATTTTCTCTTATTCTATGGTTTGTATTTTTAATTTCTTGATAGTGTATTTTGATGTACAAAAGTTTTTAATTTTCGTGAATTTCAATTTAATTATTTTTTCCTTTGGTTACTCCTGGTTTAAGAAGTCACTGCATAATTCAAGTTCATAAATATTTACCCTTATGATGTCATCCGAGTTTTATAGTTTAGTTCTTACATATTGATCCTTGATCCATTTTGAGTTATTTTTGAATATAGTATGAGGTAGGTCTCCATCTTTATTCTTTTGCATGTGGATTTCCAGTTGTTTTGGCACCATTTGTTGAGAAGACTATTTTTCCTGTTTAATGATCTTGGAAGCCTTGTTAAAAATTCATTGGTATAGTTACATAGATTTAATTTTGAACTCTCTTTCATTTTATTTGATTTATATTTCTATCTTTATTCCATTATCACACTGACTTGATTACTGTAGCTTTGTAATACGTTTTGAACTTGGAAAGTGTGAGTTCTCCAACTTTCTTCTAGTTCAAGATTGTTTTGGCTATCCTATGTTTCTTGTATTTTCATAAAACTCTTTAAAAAGATTGTTAATTTTTTTTAAAAAGGCAATTAAAAATTTGAAAGGTACAACAGTGAACTGTAGATCAATCTTGAGAATATTATCAATTTGAATAATGTTTTCTAATTCATGAATATGGGATATCTTTCATTTATTTGGGTTTTCTTTTTTAAAGCAATATTTTGTTGTTTTCATTGTACAAGTCTTGAACTTCCTTGGTTAAGTTTATTTTTAAGTATTTTATTATTTTTGATGCTATTGTAAATAGAATTGTTTGTCTTTAATTTCATTTTCAGATGATTCATTGCTGTTGTCTAGAAATACAACTGATGATTTTTGTTTGTTGATTCAATGTACTGCAACTTTGCTATACTCTCTTATTAGCTCCAATAGTTGTTATTGTGTATTCTTTATGGGTTTCTATATGTGAGATTATGTCATCTGTGACTAGAGTTAATTTTACTTCCTTCTTTCAAATTTAGACAACTATTTTTTATCGCTTAATTGCCTTGGATAGCATGTTTAGTAAAATGTTCAATAGAAGCGGTGAGAGTGAACATCTTTGTATTGTTCCTAAACTTAGGGGGAAATATTTCAGTCTTGAATTACTAAGTATGATGTTACTGGTGGGTTTTTCATAAATGCCCTTTGTTAGGCTAAGGAAATACCTTTCTATTCCAAGTTTGTTTTGTTGTTGTTGTTTTGAAATCATTAGATAATATTGGGTTGTGTCAAATGTTTCTTCTCCCTTTAGGATGATCATTTGTTTTTCCTCTATTTTCTATTATTTATTATATTGATTTGATAGGTTGAATCAATCTTAACATACCTAGAATAAATCCCACTTGTGTGTAGGGTATAATCGTTTTTTATGTGTTGTTAGATTTGCTTTATTTTTTAGTATTTTTTGAGGATTTTCAGATCTATAAGGGATAAATGCAGTTTTTTTCTTCTTGTCATGTCACTGTCTGGTTTTGAAATAAAAGGAACACTGACTTCAGAAAACGAGTTGGGAAGTGTTCTCTCCTCTTCTGCATTTTGTAAGAGCTTGTGAAGAATTGATGTTAATTTTCTTTAAATATTTGGGAGAATCCATGGAGGAGGTCATTTTGGATTAGGCTTTTCATTGTGAAAAGTGTTTTCTTTGTTTTTCGGGATTTTTACATTACTATTTCAATTTCTTTACTTGTATGAGTCTATTTTCATTTTACATTTCTTCTTGCATTAGTTTTCATAGATATATGTATTAGGAATTTGTCTATTTCTTCTGAATTTTTTAATGTTATCTAATGGTGTTCTAAAGGACTCTGGAGGACTGTACTTAGCATTCTCTATAAGGCAAGCAATGAATTCTGTCAGTTTTTTAAAAATATAGAAAGGTCTTAATTTCTCATTTATTTTTAAATAACAATTTTGCTGAATATAGTATTATTTGTTTTATTCCTGTCTTTTCTTCTCCCCCCCTTTATTCCCTCTTTCCTATCCCTACTGCTTTCTGGCTTCCATAATTTCTGATAAAAAATCCAGCTGTTATTCCTATTGTAGATTCCTCACACGTGATCAGTTGCTTATCTCTTAAAAATGTTGTTTTCAAGATTCTCTCTTTGTCTTTGTTATTTGACAGGTTAATTATGACATGTTTAGATATGTACCTTTTTGAGTTTATCCTACCTGGAATTTATTGAGATTCTTCCATGTGTAGATTAATTTTTTAAATCAAATATGAGGAGGTTTTGGCTATTATTTCTCTTTAAATACTCTCTTCAGACTCTACTGTTTTTGAAACTCCTATTATGTGATGTTTGTATAGTTTTGGAATCCTAGAGGACTCTGAGCTCTGTTTCCTTCCTTCCTTCCTTCCTTCCTTCCTTCCTTCCTTCCTTCCTTCCTTCCTTCCTTCCTTCCTCTTTCTTTTTCTTTCCTCCATTGTTCATGCTGGAGAGCACTGCCATAATCATAGCTCACTGTAACCTTGAACTTCTGAGCTCAAGTGATCCTCCTGCCTCAGCTTCCTGAGCCCCTAGGACTACAGGTGCATGCCACCACACCAGGATAATTAAAATAATTTGTAGAAATATGGTCTTACTCTGTTGCTCAGGCTGCTCTCAAATTCCTGAATTTCCTATAGTTATTTGAACGTATTAAAATAACCCATTAGATCTTTGCCTAGTAAGTGCAATGTCAGAGTCTCCTTAAGTGACAGTACCCGCTGATTGTTTTTTTGTTTAATTTATAGATCATACTTCCTTGCTTCTCCATGTGTCTTATTTTGTTGTTGTTGTTGAATAACAAAGCAAATGGAAATTTTCAACCATATAATTGCAAGTCTAGAAATCAAATATTCCCTTCCCAGTTTTGTCATGTTTGCTACTACAGTTTGTTTTTAATTTAGCACCTTTTTAAAACTAATTCTTCAAAAGTCTATATTTGTCATGTATAGGCACTGAAGTCTGTGTTTGGTCAGCTTAGTGGTCAACTAATAAATAGAAAGATATTTCCTTAAAACTCTGAAACTAATAAGTCCTGTGTTTGCTGAAACTTTGTGTGCAAAATGGGGCATGCCATCAACACTCAGCCTCACAATTAGAAATTTTGCCTTCTATTTTTCTAAGGTAAATAAACACCTAGGAGCAGGAGTTATGGATCGTATGGTATGTTTAACTTTCTAAGAAAACTCCAAACTGTTTTCTGTACTGGCTGTACCATTTTTCATTCGCAGCAGCAATAAATGAGATTTCCAGGCACTTGGCATCATCACTAGTTGTTGGTATTGCCTGTGTTTATAATTATTAAAATAATATCATGTAATTACATAATGTTATTATGATTATCATCATTGGTGTTATTGTTCCTTAAATAACTATTCTCATATGTGTGTAATGACATATTAGTGTGGATCAAATTTACAGTTCCCTAATGATTATTTATGTCCAGCATCTTTTCACAGGCTATGTGCCATCCCATCCATGTATCTTTTTTTTTTTTTTGGAGACAGAGTCTCACTCTGTCACCCAGGCTGGAGTACAGTGGTGTGATCTTGGCTCACTGCAACCTCTGCCTCCTGGGTTCAACTGATTCTTGTGTCTTAGCCTCCCAGGTAGCTGGGATTACAGGCATGCACCACCACACCAGGCTAATTTTTGTACTTTTAGTAAAGATGGGGTTTCACCATGTTGGCTAGGCTGCTCTTGAACTCCCAACCTCAGCTGACCCACCCGCCTCGGCCTCCCACAGTGCTGGGATTACAGGCATGAGTCACCATGCCTGGCCACTGTGTATCTTCTTTTGTAAAATATTTATTCAGATATTTGCCCATATTGTAATGTGCTTCTTTTCTTGTGATTGGATTTTGACAATTCTTTAAATATTCAATCTATAAGTCCTCAATGGGACGTGTCATTTGCCAACATTTTCTCCCATAGAAAATGTTTTATTTATTTTTTATCCTCTTACTAGTGTCTTTGACAGAGCAAAAGATTTAATTTTATTTCAATGTTTCTTTTTATTGAACGTGCTTTTGATGTCAACTTTACTTGTGGGAGGCAGAATGCGATGGCCAAAGATGTCCATGTCTTAATCCCTGAAACTTGTGTATGTTACTTTGAATGGCAAAAGGGACCTGACAGATGGGAGATTGTCATAGGCTACCTGGGGAGAGTCCAATCTAATTACAAGGGTATTTAAAATCAAATAACCTTTCCATGCTGTGATGCCCAGAAGGATCTTTTAGTATGGAAGAATGGTCATAGAGATGCAATGTTTCTGATTTTGAAAATGGAGGAAAGGGCCGTGAGTCAAAGAATGCAGGTAGCCTCTAGAAGCTAGAAGAGGCAAGGAAACTGACTCTTCCCTAAAGCCTCCACAAGGAAATGCAGCACTGCCAGTGCCTTCATTTTAGCTCAGTGAAACCTGCATTGGAAAGTTACAGAACTTGGAACTTCTGAGTTACAGATCAGTAAGATAATAAATTCGTGCTATACAAAACCACTAGCTTTGTGGTAATTTGTTATAGCAGCAAGAAAAAATAAATATACTTCATAAATTTTATCAACTTTTCCCACAGCATAATAATGTACATTTTACCAGGAGATATCATAGAAATGTGATCTTTGGATTAAGACAGAAAAAATACTGCATCTGTTGTTTATTATCTATTACTTTGGGAAAAAATATTAATGTCATGAGTTTTAATTCCATAGTTTGAAAAGCTGGGAATGATAATCTCCAATATTTTAGATTTTTAGATTAAGTTTTGAAAATGTATGCCAAATGCCTTCAATACTATCTGCCACAAAGTGGATAAGAAAAAACAACATCTATTACCTTTGCATATACTTTCCCATTTTAGTCACTATTTTAAAACATAATTAAACATGTATTGAGTACCTGTACTATCGAATTTTCTAAAGTCATTAATAACCGAAGCTGTAAGCCCAAACCTTTCATTTTACAGCTAAGGAAACCAGTACAAGGATGAGAAGTATTTTGAACATCTCATAGATTTTAAGCAGCAGATTCAAGATCAGAAACCCATCTTTTGTGTGGGTATTTTCATCTCATCTGTACAGAACATTCTTCTGTCTATTGCTTCTACTTATAAAGATTGGTGAGAATATTGGCATCCACTTCATATGCATTATTGGTGCAACAGTAACTAACATTTATTACATAATATTCTATGAAGTGCTCCAACTTTCTCAAGTATCAATTAAATAATTCTGGGAACAGTTTCATCATATTAAAAACTATTGTTATTCCTATTTTACAAATGAGGAAACAAAGAAATAGAGAACTTGAGTAATTTGTACCTTATCCCATAAACACTAAGTAGTGAAGCTGGGATTTGCACCGAGGAAGTCTTACTGCAAAACCTTAATCATTATTCTATAATCCATCTAGTAGCTAATGTAAGTAATTAGTAAGTGATGCTAAC
This sequence comes from Homo sapiens, assembly GCF_000001405.40. Lineage (NCBI taxonomy): Eukaryota > Metazoa > Chordata > Mammalia > Primates > Hominidae > Homo > Homo sapiens. The sequence goes on along the minus strand of NC_000010.11, from coordinate 83,405,472 downwards.
CCTTATTGCACCCCTCCTCTGTACCAGGCACTATGCTAGGCCCTTTCTGTGCATTACTACATTTAATTTCATCAACCCATGGAAAGTCTGAAATCTGCACAATTATTGTCTTTCATCAGAAGAAGAAACTGTGACTCAGAAAGGCTAAGTATCTTTTCCAAATTTATATAGCAATAGTTGTATGCTATTCAGCCATAAAGAAGAATGAGATCCTGTCATTTGCAACAACATGCATGGAACTGGAGATCATTAGGTTAAGTGAAATAAGCCAGAACAGAGACAAACATATTTTCTCACTTATTTGTGGGATCTAAAATTCAAAGCAATTGAACTCATGAACATGGAGAGTAGAAGGATGGTTACCAGAGGCTGGGAAGGGTACTGGGGGGCAAGGAGGATGTGGGTTGGTTAATGGGTACAAAAAATGAGAAGAATGCATAAGACCTACTATTTGATACCACAACAGGGTGACTGTAGTCAACAATAATTGTATATTTTAAAGTAATTAAAAGAGTATAATTGGGTTGTTTGTAACACAAAGGATAAATGCTTGAGGGGATAGATACCTGTTTTCCATGATGTGATTATTAGGCATTGTATGCCTGTATCAAAACATTTCATGTACCTCATAAATAAATACACCTATTATATACCCAGAAAAAATAAAAATATAGAAAAGCCAAGCATCCAGCTTAGCTCTGCTTTACTCAAAATCCATGATATTCTGTTCTGTTACTTCTCAGCAAGTGGTAAGGTATTTGGATTAGCAGTAGTGATTTCATCTGAATTATATATAACATATATGTATAAGTTATATACGTATATAACGTAAAAGTTATATACGTATATAACGTCTATGTATAAGTTATATACATATATATAACATATATGTATAATATGTATAACTGATATGGTTTGGCTCTGTATCCCCACCCAAATCCTCATTTCAAATTGTAATCCCCATAATCCTCACGTGTCAAGGGTAGGACCAGGTGGAGGGAAAACTGGATCTTGGGTGGTTTCCCCCATGCTATTCTTGTGATCGTGAGTGAGTTCTCAGGAGATCTCATGGTTTTATAAAGTGTCTGGCATTTCCCCTGCTTGCACTCACGCTGTCCCGCCACCCTGTGAAGGAGATGCCTGCTTTTCCTTTGCCTTCCGCCATGACTGTAATTTTCCTGAGGCTTCCCCAGCAATGAAGAATGGTGAACAAATTAAACCTCTTTCCTTTATAAATTACCAATTCTCAGGTAATTCTCCATAGCAGTGTGAGAACAGACTAACACAATAACATATATCTATGTAATTATAATTATCTATTTAAAGTTAGAAAACAACTTCTTCTTAAAGTGAATTTTCAACAATGTCTTTCTCATTTTTTCCATTTTTTTTGTTTGTTTGTTTGCTTTGTTTTGTTTTGTTTTTCCAGAACAGACAGTATGCCTTGAGAGAGGATTGCAGGACAGTAAGGATGTAAGGATGAGATAGTATCTCTCTGTTTTAAAAAATATAATATATTCATAATTAAACATTGGAATCTAGAACTTGGCTTTTAATGTTTAGCAGATATTTCAAAATCAGGTCTGTTTGTATATAATCATAAAAAGCAGACTCCTTGACTCTCATTTTAGGCTCTTTCATCCTGTTTATTGTGCATTTACCATCCTTAGACACTTGCAAGGCAGAAACTCAAGACAGAGTACTGTTTGGACAAATTGAAGTGACCTGCAAAGCTGTCACTAGAAGATGTGAAATTGTAGACACCATGACCTTTGCTGCTGAATATATAAATGTTAGCAAAAATTTTATCTTAATAGCTTGAGAGGGCAGAGCCAAAAAGATTGGCTGGAAGTCATGATGGCAGTGTAAAGAGAAGCTAATTTTTTAAAATACCTGTTCTTAAATTGGGTTTAGACTACTTCCAGTGGTAGACTTTATATGAGAGAGACTTCCTAGTATTCAAAATTCTTGAAATTACTGAATATCTGTTTTAAAAATTAGCGTGTTTAAACATTAAAAATATGTAAGAGCACTGCTGAAAGCAATCAGAGATGACACAAGTGCAAAAATATTTCATACTTCTGGATAGGACACATCAATATTGTTTAAATGGCCATACTGCCCAAAACAAATTATTTCAATACTATTCCTATTAAACTACCAGCAACATTTTTAACAGAATTAGAAAAAGCTATTCTAAATTTCAAATGCAACTAAAAAAGAGCCTGAATAGACAATTGTAAGCAAAAAGAACAAAGCTGGAGGCATCACATTACCTGACTTCAAACTATACTAAAAGGCTACAGTAACCAAAACATCATGGTACCAGTCCAAAAACAGACACATAAATCAATGGAACAGAATAGAGATCCCAGGAATAAAGCCACACACCTAAAACCATCTGATATTTGACAAAGTTGACAAAAACAAGCAATGGGGAAAAGACTCCCTATTCAATAAATCATGCTGGGATAACTAGCTAGCCATATGCAGAAGATTGAAATTGAACCTCATCTTTACACCATACACAAAAATCAACTCAAGATGGATTAAAGACTTAAATGTAAAACCTAAGACTATAAAAATTCTGGTAAAAAACATAAAATACCATTCTGGACATGGGCCCTGGCAACAAGTTCATAAAGAAAATGCCAAAAGCAATTGCAACAAAAACAAAAATTGACAAATGACACCTAATTAAACTAAAGAATGCAAGTTAGTTCAGCCACTGTGGGAAGTGTTTGGCGATTGTTCAGAGAACTTAAAACAGAATTACTATTTGATCCAGAAATTCCATTACTGGGTATATAACCAAAGGAATATAAATCATTCTACCACAAAGACACCTGCCTATGTATGTTTATCGCAGCACTATTCATAATGGCAAAGACATGGAATCAACCTAGATGCCCATCACTGGTAGACTGGATAAAGAAAATGTGGTACATATACACCACGGAATGCTATACAGCCATAAAAAGAATAATATCATATCCTTGATATGATATTATCAAGGATATGATAATATCCAAGGAACATGGATGGAGCTGGAGGCCATTATCCTCCATGAACTAACACAGAAACAGAAAACCAAAAGCCACATGTTCTTGCTTATAAGTGGAAGCTAAACATCGAGTACACTGTGACACAAAGAAAGGAACAATAGACACCAGGGGACACTTGACGTTGGAGAGAGGGAGGAGGTTCAGGATCAAAAGTCTATCTATCAAGTACTATGCTTATTGCCTGGGTAATGAAAGAATATGTACATCAAACCTCTGCAACATGAAATTTACCTATATAATAAACCTGCACATCTACCCCTAAATCTAAAATTAGTTAAAAAATAAAGTGAAAACATTTTCTAGCTTTATTGAGATATAATTGACAAATATAATAAAATTTGTATATATTTTAAAAATAAAATATAAAAAAGAAAAAACATGATTAAAAGTTCCTTGTGTTATTTCCCTGAGATACTCTATATTTGCATATATATACACATACATATACACATATAATTATAATTTTTGATCTTATAAAACCTTTGTGATCTTATAAAACCTTTTCTCTAGCAGGAAAAAATATGTGAGGGAAAATTTAATTTGAGGAAAAAAATACATAACTTAAAAAATTCTAATAACACCAAGCTTTTTTTTTCCTTATTTTTCTTTTTAAACAACTCACTGCTATTTCCATCCAATTATTGAAGCCATCTATATCCCCTTTTTAAGCAAGTAACATGTCCCATTTTTGCTGCTTATTCTATTTCCTGCCTTACCTCCAATGTTGTAAGGGAGGAGAGGCAGTAAAAGCAGGTAGAGGGAAGATTTTGACTGAGGGCAGCAGGTTGTTAAATAGTTTTATAGGTTACATAGTGATAGGAAAGGGGGTATTTATATGTAATAAGCATTTATAAACAAAATCAATATTCCATTACAAGATATATAGAAAATAAGGAATCTCTTTGAACTTGCTACAAAACCATAAATTCCCTAGTTATAATTATAGTAAGAAATATACAGAGTCTATGGGATTGCAGAAACAAACCACTTTTAAGGAAAGAGTTGAAAGAAGATATGAACAAATGTAAAGATATTTTCTGAAGAGGAATATTTTGAACTGGATCTCTCTTATTCTCTCTCTCCCTCTCTTTTTCTCTCTCTCTCCCTCTCTCAAATAAGGGTCTTGCTCTGTTGTCCAGGCTGGACTTGAACTCCTGGCTGAACTGCTGGCCTCAAGCAATCCTCCTGTGCAGGCCTTCGAAACCACTGGGATTACAGGCATAAGGCACTGCACCCAGCCCATTTTTTTTTTTTTCAATGGATCTCTCAACAACTGGAGCTTGGGCTGCTGAGGGTGCTTCTAAAAAAATTGACCTGCTCTGCCCTGTCTCCCTGGGAACACTGAGGGATAAGCTGGGGTTGCCATGAAACTATTTGTTATACTTGCTGAGCAGAAAGGCAGGTACTCACCAGAAGGGTAAGGAAGTAAAGTGGAAAGTGATCAGGAAGGGAAAACTGGCAGAACTGCCACTTCGCCAGAGGGGTATCAGTCACAACTCTACACACTTATGGGGGATGTTGGGGACCTGGAAACTACATCCTTTTCTTGATTCTATTGTACTTTCTTCCCCTTTGTGCAATTGACTGCATATATTTGCTTATCCTATTACCACTAAAAGAGTTACATCACATCTTGGCTTTGAACAAGTTGATCGAGTTGATACTTTCTTTAATGATATCATCAGTGTATTTGGTATACAAATTCCAAAATTAAATTACAGAATAGTGCAATCCTAATCAATACCTTAATTAACTTATTTGGAAACCTAAAGATATATAAATACATATATATATACACACACTGTATTTGAGGAAAAGAAATAAATCAGAGGGGTGACTTCTAGTGCAAAATAACGTTTAGCTAGCTGACCATAGATATACATTCTGCTCCAATATTTATGAAGCATTTGAGAAAGATAAAAATAAAACAGCCCCAGGAGTAAGACCCAACTGCTTGTCTAAATCTGGGAAAAGTATTGACTCTACAGCTATGAAACCAAGATAAGGATTGCAATCAATCCCTTCAACAAGCCATGTGTAACAAAATGGCAGGTTGAAAATTTTGTAAAAATGGTTTTATCCCTCCTTTCTGCCTCCACAGACTGAAGGCTTGTACTAACCAGAAAATGGTAGAACTACCCCTACTTGCATGAGTGAGTGCTTTAGAAGCTGTTAAAGTCTCGCTATCTACTCTCATCTTCAACTGAACAGTTTTTATATTACAAATGGAATGCACAGTAGTGACATTAACTGAGATACAGAGTATTGGAGAAGGGCAATTTCAGGGGTTGGAGGGAGAAGAAAAGACGGAGACAGAGCAAATTTAGTTTGGGATGTATTAATTTTTGAGAAGCTTATGTGAAATCTAAAGGTGATATACAGTAAGATTTGTATGCTTGTTTCTAGATTACAGGAAAGAACAGGTATGAATTCCATAATTTATTTTGTATTTCTGCTTATATCAATCCACTACATTTTCACCTATCCATTATTCTACTAAAACTCATCTCATAAGGGTTATCAATTATTCCCTATTGATGAAGTCCAATGACTGCTTCTCAATTTTTATCTTAATTACTGTCTCTTTTGTTTGTAAATTTTAAGGTCTCCCTGCTATATAAAACCCAACACTCTTTTGACCTACAAAATTAAATTACCTATTTCTAGTAAAGTTCACTCTGTGTGAATATAATGTATGCATATATATATGTGTGTCTATATGTATGTGCATAGACATGTGTATGTATACATGTGTTATAAAATATTTCCTTTCAACCTCTGTAGTAGCTGCTGTTTCTGCCACTGAAATTTGAAATTTTCCAAATTCTCCCCATATTTTTATCTTCTACTCTGCATGATTTTTTTTACAATAATTTTATTCAACTTCATGATTTTACCTATGTGTTATAATCTGATAATTTCCCAATCTGTAACACAAGGCTTATTTCAAGTTAATATATATTTTCCAAGTGTCAGTGACATTTTCCTTTATATTTATATTTCTGGGGAAGCAAAAGCTCTTTGATTTATCCTGTTTGGGGGACCTGAAATAACTTTGGTTGCATACATAATGAGTCCCTGTTTTAATTTTTCAGACCCGAGTAATGACATACAGGAACATTTTCTGCCCTTTTATGCTCACTTAGATATTATTACTGGCAATGTGACATGAGATATCCTGAAAATTCTCCCTTTACAAACACATTGAAAAGTTGTATCTACAATAATAAAATTTTAAATACATACTTGAATTTTTAACAAAATTAACAACTCCAGCAATCAAAAGCAGGCAAGGAGAACACAGAAATTCAGAGCAGTCGAGGAGCAGGCAATGCAGCTGGAAGTGCGGGACTTGGGAGAGGGTTGCAGATCTCAGTAACAATGCTGTGATTCCCACAGTCTCCTGTAGATAGGGAAGAACTCTTTATAAAGTAGTTAATTGGAACTGAATTTAACTAAGGCATAACTTACACATTTTGAAGAATGTGGATGTTCTGTTTTGGATATCATAAGTGCTTGAGATTTGGGATGGACAGGATAGAGAGGAAGGAGAAGCTGTACTATTTGCAATGTTCTCCTTCCAGTTTTCTACTTGAGATCAGCACTTCCTTCAGCCTTTCTCTATTCTGTAGTGAAAGTTAACATTTCAGGCACTGTTTTAAGAACTACACATGCATTAGATCATTGGCTTTTATAATAATGACTGAGAAAGACACTATTATTATTTCCAATACCAGGTGACAAGTATGAGGTACAAAATAGTAAAGTCCCCAGCCCAGGGCCATGTACATAAGAAGTAAAGCCAGCATTCAAACTGAGGCAATATAACTTCAATTTTTTAAAAATTTATTATTTTGAGACATTTTGAACATATAGAGGAGTTGAAAGAGTAATATAATGAACATCCATATATCCACCACTTATCAACTACTATTAACATTTTTCTATATTTGATTTTTCAATATAATGTAGTACTTGTGTGTTTCGTTGTCTGGTTTTCAGGGAGGTGTTGTGTGTATTTCTGCTGAATAATTTGAAAATCAGTTTCAAGTATAATGACTCTAAATACTAGGGTATTCTCCCACACACAATTATAACACTAGTATTAGACCCAAGGAAATACAGGCTTACTAACATCCAGCTCATCTCCAAATTTTCCCAGTTGCTTTTGAAAATATATTTTAATAGTTGTTTTTTGAATTAAAATTCAATTAAGTTTCACATATTCCATTAGAGTTAGATATCTCCTTAATCTCTTTGGAAGACCAATTCCACTCCTTTTTTTTTTTTTTTTTTTTGCTTACAATATTGACTTTGGGAAGCATTCAGGACAGCTGTCATGTTAAATTTCCTACCTTCTGGATTTTTTCAAATTTTCTCATGGTGTTGCGTAAATGGTTCTATAAACACTGGATTTTATCTACTGTGTTATTTTTCCTTTCCTTTGGGGTCTAGTAATTAAGTCATTTGCCTCTTTCTCACTCTTTCACTGGGTTAGACTAATACCAAGTTTAGGTTAGATAATTGGTGGAATATTACATTAACAAATATAAAGTAACAGCTGAATATAAGCTATCACAATCACAATAATGTCAGGGGTAAAATAATGCTTTGCGGTAGGAAATAGGAAGACAGAGAGAGAGAGAGAGTGAGAGAGAGACCTCTTTATGTTGCCCAGGCTGGCCTCAAACTCCTGGGCTCAGGCAATCCTCTCACCTAGCCTCCCAAGTAGCTGGGACTACAGGCACAAGCCACCATGCCCAGCTATTTTTTATTCTTAAATAAGGTGGATAATATCTTAATACCTAGGATTGTCAATGGCAACTACCACAGTTACTGATGCCAGGACCTGACTTTATTGAGTATGCTGGAACATTTAGAGTACAAATCAGTCTATTGGCTTGGCCTCGTCTTTCCAAGTGATCATACTGGAAGGAGACAGTTCTGCCGATATGTATAGTGTGTGAAATAACATCTGAGTGGCTGTATGTCTGAGTGTGATTATGTCTAGGCATGTGTGTGCATGTATGCGTGTGCACTCACTCATTCCTCACAAAAACCTTATATTGTAGATATTATTACCTCATTTTAGGAATAAGAGTCATTATATAGGTATTCGAAGCCATTATTTACAAGAGGTTTGCTTGGATTTTAAAGCCTGTGAGATTTCCATATCCAAAATTATAAAACAGTTTTTTACCTCTTATGCCAACTCTGATTAACTACTAGTGTATAAGTATAGTCTAGTCTTGAGGAGGACTCTGAGGACTTGCTTCATTCAGTGAGAAAGAATTCCATAAAAATAGTCGATATCTGCCAGGAACCCCAGAAAGGATGAATGTCAGTACTCATGTGAAATATTTGAGAATGCTACCTGACTCATAATGAGCAAATTCCCTCAAATTCTAGCAGGCTTTTCTGGAAACACTCTATCTTTCCCCTTCCAAGACAGTTGTGATCCTCTAAGAGCTTATTAATACAAGGTATCAAGATATTGACTCTGCCAGACAACATGCATGTTGAAGTGTGGTGACATACGAAAGAAGGTTGGAGACTAAGTGAACTTCATAACAGTTTCCTAAAGTAGATGAGGTTACTCTTTACACCTGACTAGAAATAATTGCTATGTAAATGGTCCCATAATGTTTCCTCTAACAAAGATTCTACACAAGAGAGCATTTAACGTGAAACAGCTTCATGGGCCATTTAGATGAAATCCCCATTTTTGTGGCTGGGAAGTGCTGAATCGATGCTTTCTATTTAATTCTCCTAGAAAGCTCCGGACCCATGGAAAGTATGGAACGAAAAGTAACATCCTAGGATGCCTTCTCCAGGCTTCATTTACCCCACTGTACTGAAGGCATTCTAAGACTTCAGAGTCATTGCTTTGGAAATAAATGGTAATCTGAAATGGAGGCAGATGATTTGATTTTGTTATTAAGTTTAAGGTAATTAGAGACATAATTTGTTTCCCTCTAATATGGCTATTAAGTACAAAGTCATCAACAAAGCCCAAGATGCTAGTAGGAAAGAAGAGAGAAAATGCTGATAATTCACTGTCTACTCTTTTTTAAATCCTGCTGCTGTCTGCCATTTCCTACCCCAAGGCATTATTTTAACCCTGACATTATTGTGATAGCTTATATTCAGGTATCACTTTACATTTGTTAATGTGGTACTCTACCAATTATCTAACCTAAACTTGTGAGGTAGGGAAGCCCTAACCTAGTAAAGTAAAGAAGCTCTTCTCATACTCATTTTACATTTGAAGAAGTTGACATTTAGTGAGGTCAAATGATTGGGCCATTATCACCTAAATTTGAAGAGGCAGAGCAATATTAATAGTAAAAAAAAAACCCAGCTCTCTCTGTTTTTTTTCTCTTACATTATGTTGCATCTAGAAGTCAACATGAAAAATATCACCTAGATAAATAGATGCTATTGGGAAATACAATGGAATGTATTATTCCACATATCCTGCATTAATACTCAATATATTATTGTATTAATGTGTTATTACACAGCTCCAAAACTTTCCCCTTTTGTCTCAATCTTGTTTATATATCCCCACTCATCCCCACAACTACACAAACAATCTGTCTTTCATTTCTGCAGGTTTTAAGGACCCAGGACTTTTCCTTTTTATTAATTATTCCATCATCTACTAGAGTCATCGGTGTCCTGGTCACCCTTCCCATCACCAAAATGACCAAAAAAAAAAAAAATTGAGCACTATTTATTTTAAGGATTTTCTTCCAGCTAAAAGAGAAAATTTTTAAATTATTTGAAGGAATTACCTAAGGAACATGTTAAGATTACAGGTTCCTAGAATCTGTCCATAGAGAATGAAACTGTTAGTACTTCATTGGGAGCCCAGGAATTTGTATCTTTAACAAGTACTGCAGAGAAATTTAATTAAAGTTATTTTCAGACCTAAGAAATATTGCAACTAAAAAGGTAATAGAAACAGCACAGTGGGAAAGTTACAAATGCCCTTAATCCTAAGAATTTTGTAGCTAGTGTCCTCTCTCTTTGTTTTTGTCTCTTCTATGATAAGATTCTTCCTCTCAATTATGTTCCTAAGGGACTTCTCTAACCTCCACATTCTGACAACAACTTAGGGCAGGCCATAAAGATGTGTCTAGTCATTACTGTATTGGACAAAACAGCTCTAGAGTCTATGGACATGCCTGTCCACATACTATTAGGCTTTTATCTTTTACTAGATGGTGAGATATAATAGCTCAAATGGGTACCTCAGTGTAAATCAGAAGTTCCTTTTTTCTTCTGTTACTAATATGTGAGCTTCAGTTCAGTATTGTCATCTGTAATATGATATAATAAAGCTTATTTGCTAAAGATTGTCAGAGGATCATTTAAGATAAGGCATTTTCTTTTTAAGATAGACTTTATTTTTAGAACTGTTTCAGGTTGACAGAAAAATTGAGCAGAAAGTACAGAGAATTCTCATATATGTCCTCCCCCATCTCATCTGCTGCCCCCACTGCCAGTTTCCCCTATTATTTATATATTCCATGACTGTGGTACATTTGTTACAATTGATGAAACAATAATAATACATTATTATTATTCACTAAAGTTCATGCTTTACATTAGGGTTTACTTTCTGTGTTGTACATTACTGCGGGATTTGACAAATAAATGTCATGTATCCACTAGGAAAAACATCATGCAGAATAGTGTCACTGTTCTAAAAACCCCTGTGCCAAAATACACTAGGGAGCAAGATGGCAGAATAGAAGGCTCCACCAATCATCCCCTCCCACGACACTAATTTATAACTATCTACACAAAAAAGCACCTTTATAAGAACCAAAAATCAAGTGAGCACTCATGGTACCTGGTTTTAACTCAATTTCCCTGAAAGAGGCACTGAAGAGGTAGGATAAACTGTCTTGAGTTGGCAGTGCTACTGCTCCTCCATCCCCTGACAGCAGCAGCATGGCGTGGAGTGTGTTTCTGTGTGCTGGGAAGAGAGAGGGCGCAGTGATTGTGAGGTATTGAACTCAGTGCTGCCCTGTTATAGTAGAAAAGAAAATGGAACCAAACTCAGCTGATGCTCACCCATGGAGGGAGCCTTCAAACCAACCCTAGCCAGAGGGGAAACACTGATGATAGCAGTGGTGGGAACTTGAATTCATGCATGCCTCGCCACCTTGTGCTAAAGTGCTCTGGGGCCCTTCATATACTTGAATGGCAGTCTAAGCCACAATGACTGTACCTCCTGAGACACCAATGGGGTGGCTAAGGGAGTGCTAGAATCACCCCTCTCCTAGCCCCAGGCTGTATAGCTCTCAGCTCCAAAAAGAATCCATTCCTTCCAGTTGAGGAAAGCAGAGGGAAGATAGGGGAGAACTTTTTCTTACTTCTCAGATACCAGCTCAGCTACAGCAGGATAGGGCACTGGGCAGAGTAGCAAGGCCCCCCTACGAGGTCTAAGCTCCTAGATGACATTTCAAGACATAACCTGGTCCAAAAGGGAACCCAATGCCTTGAAGGGAAGAACCCAATCATGGCAGGATTCATCACCTCTAACCAAAGAGTCCTTGGGCCCTAAATAGCCAGCAGCAATACACAGATACTACAGGGCCTTGGGTGAAATTCTGAGACTTGCTGGCTTCAGGTGACACTCAGTACATTACCAGCTGTAGCGACTAGGGGGCAAGACTCCTTCTGCTTCAGAAGAGTAGAGAGAAAAGTAAAGGGAGTTTGTCTTGCACCTTAGGTGCCAGCTTGGCTGCAAGAGCGTGGAAAACTAAGTAGGCTCTTGAGGTTCCCAGTTCCAGGATTTAGCTCCTGGATGACATTTATGAACCTTCCCTGGGATATAGCGGAGCCCATTGCACTGAGGGAGAGTTCTAAGCCAGACAGCATTCACCACAAGTGGACTGAAGAGCTCTTGGGCCTTAAAAGAACATTGGCAGTAGTCTGCCAATAATCCCCATACCTGTGTGGTGGTGATGGACATAGGATGAGGCTCTTCTGCCTTTGGAAAGGAGAAGGAAGAGTGGGAAAGATTGTGTCTTATGGTATGAGTGCCACTTCCCACAGTACAGTAGAACATGAGGTAGACTTCTAAGGTTTTTGACTCTAGTCCCTGGGTTCTGGAAATCACTTCTGGACCTATGTGGGGCCTTGGGGGAACTCACCACCCTGAAGAGAAAGACAAAGACCTGGTTGGCTTTGCCACCTTCTGATTGTAGAGCCCCAGGGACTTGAGAAAACATAGGCAGTAGCCAGGGAGTGGTTATAGTAGGCATTGGGTGAAACGCTAGGTTCAGGTGTGACCAAGTACAGTCCTAGTTGTGGTGGCCACAGAGATGCTTGTGTCACTCTACCCCTAGCCCCAGCAGGTCTGTTCCCTTACTTTCTCCAAAAGAGGGTCTCTTTCCATTTGTTTGGGAGAAAATAAGGGAAGAGAGCAAAAGTCTCTGCCTGGTAATCCAGGGAATTCATTGAGATCTTGTCTAAGACCATCAAGGTGGTAACTCTATGAGTCTGCAAGGACCAGAGTGTTAATTGGCTTAGGGTTCTCCCTAAAATAGAAACAGCTTGTATCACAACACCCAAGTCTTTTCAAATATCCGGAAAGCCTTCCCAGGAAGGATGAGAACAAACGAGCCCAGACTATAAAGACTACAATAACTACCTCTCTAATGCTGATATATAGACAAACATTTACAAGTCTCAATACATTCCAGGAAAACATGACCTCAGCAGATGAACCAAATAAAGCATCAGGAACCAATCCTGGGGAAACAGAAATATGTAACCCTTCAGATAGGGAATTCAAAATAGTGTTTTTTGTTTTTGTTGTTGTTGTTGTTTTGTTTTTTTTTCTTGAGCAAAATCAAAGACATTCAAGAAAACACAAAGAAGAAATTCAGAATTCTAACAGGAAAATTTAACGAAGAGATTGATATAATTAAAAGAGTCTAGCAAAAATTTTGGAGCTGAAAAATGCAATTGGCATACTGAACAATGCGTTCAGACTCCTTTAATAGCAGAATTAATCAAGCAGAAGAAAGAATTAGTGAGCTTAAACAGAGGCTATTTGAAAATACAGTCAGAGAAGACAAAATAATAAAAATAAAAACAAACAATAAGCACACCTACAGGATGTAGAAAATAGCCACAACAGAGCAAATGTATGAGCAATTGGCCTTAAATAGGAGGTAGAGAAAGAGAGGTAGAAAGCTTATTCAGCAGGATAATAACAGAAAACTTCACAAACCTAGAGAAAAATATTAATATCCAAGTATAAAAAGGTTATAGAACAACAAGCAGATTTAGCCTAAATAAGACTACCTCAAAGCATTTATTTAATAATCAAACTCCCAAAGATCAAGGATAATGAAAGGACCCTAAAAGCAGCAAGAGAAAAGAAACAAATAACCTATAATGGAGCTCTAATATGTCTACCAACAGAGTGTTCAATGGAAACTTTATAGGCCAGGAGAGAGTGGTATGACATATTTAAAGTGTTGAAGAAAAAAACTTTTTACCCTAGAATGGTATACGCAGTGAAAATATCCAATGAACAGGAAGGAGAAATAAAGACTTTCCCAGACAAACAAAATGATTCATCAACACCAGAATTGTCCTACAAGAAATGCTGAAGAGAGTACTTCCACCAGAAAAAAATAAACAGGATGTTAATATGCAATAAGAAGTAATCTGGGCTGGGTGCTGTGGCTCACCCCTGTAATCCCAGCACTTTAGGAGGCTCAAGAAGGCAGATCACGAGGTCAGGCATTTGAGACCAGCATGGCCAACATCGCGAAACCCCACCTCTACTAAAAAAATACAAAAATTATCCAGGCACCTGTAATCCCAGCTACTCGGGAGCCTGAGGCAGGAGGATCACTGGAATCCGGGAAGCAGAGGTTGCAGTGAGCCAAGATGGCACCACTGCATTCCAGCCTGGGTGACAGAGCAAGACTCCATCTCAAAAAAAAAAAAGAAAAAGAAAAAGAAAAAAAAAGAAATCATCTGAAGAAACAAAACTAGCAGGTAACAGTAAGTACACAGAAAAACACAGAATATTATAACACTGTAACTGTAACTGTGATGCATAAACTACTCTTCTTTTAAGTAAAAAGACTAAATTATGAAACAATAAAAAGTATCCTTTTTTTTGTAACAGTACCGTGCTGTTTTGGTTATTGTATCCCTGTAGCATAGTTTGAAGCCAGGTAACATGATGCTTCCAGCTTTGATTTTTGCTTAGGATAGGCTTGGCTATTCGGGCTCTCTTTTAGCTCCATATGAATTTTGAAATAGTTTCTTTCTGGTTCTGTGAAGAATGTCCTTGGTAGTTTGATAGGAATAGCGTTGAATCTGTAAGTTGCTGTGGGCAGTATGGCCATTTTAATGATACTGATTCATCCTATCCATGAGCATGAGATATTTTTCCATTTGTTTGTGTCATCTCTAATTTCTTTGTGCAGTATTTAGTAATTATTATTGTAGAGATTTGCCTCCACAGTTACCTTTATTCCTAGGTATTTTATTCTTTTTGTGGCAAGTTTGAATGAGAGTTCGTGATTTGCCTCTCAGCTTGGTTGTTGTTGCTGTATAGGAATGCTAGTGATTTTTGTGCTTTGATGTTATATCCTGAAATTTTGCTGAAGTTGTTTATCAGTTGAAGGAGCTTTGGGCCAAAACTATGGGGTTCTCTAGATATAGAATCATGTCACCTACAAATAGAGATAGTTTGACTTCTCTTTTCATTTGGATGACCCTTACTTTTTTCTCTTGCCTAATTTCTCTGGCTAGGACTTCCAATACTATATTGGATAGGACTGGGTGAGAGAGGGTATCTTTTTCTTGTGCTGGTTTTCAAGGGGAATCCTTCCATATTTTGCCCCTTTAGTATAATGTTGGCTGCGGGTTTGTCATAGATGGCTGGTATTATTCAGAGATATGTTCATTCAATGCCTAGTATGTTGAGAGTTTTTAAAATGAAGCAGTGTTGAATTTTATCAAAAGCCTTTTCTGCATCTATTGAGATAATCATGTGGTTTTTGTCCTTAGTTTTGCTTATATAATGAATTGATTTATTGATTTGCAGAGGTTGAACCAACCTTGCACCCCAAGGATGAAGCCTTGATCATGGTGGATTAGCTTTTGGATGTGCTGCTGAAATCAGTTTGCGAGTATTTTGTTGAGGATTTTTGCACAGATGTTCATCAAAGATATGGCCTGAAGTTTTCTTTTTCTGTTGTGTCTCTGACAGGTTTTGGTATCAGGATGATGCTGGCCTCATAGAATTAGTTAGGGAGGAGTCCCTTTTCCTCAATTTTTTGGAATAGTTTCAGTAGGAATAGTACCAGCTCTTCTTTGTACATCTCACAGAATTCGGCTGTGAATCCATCAGGTCCTAGGCTCCTTTTTGTTGGTAGGCTATTTATTACTGATTCAATTTTGGAGCTCATTATTGTTCTGTTCAGGTAATCAATTTCTTTCAGGTTCAGTCTTGGGAGGGTGTATGTGTCCAGAAATTTATCCATCTCTTCTAGGTTTTCTAGTTTGTGTGCATAGAGTTGTTAATATAGTATTTATGATGGTTAGCTTTACTTCTGTGGGGTCAGTGGTAAAATTTCCTTCATCATTTCTAATTGTGTTTATGTGGATCTTCTCTCTTTTTTTCTCCATTAGTCTGGCTAGTGGCCTATCTATCTTATTAATTTTTTCAACAAACCAACTCTTGGATTTATTGATCTTTTGATTTTTTTGTGTGTCTCCATTTCCTTCAGTTCAGCTCTGACTTTATTTCTTATCTTCTGCTAGCTTTGGGATCAATTCATCCTTCCTTCCGTAATTCTTTCAATTGCAATGTTAGATTGTTAACTTGAGATCTTTCTAATTTTTTAATGTAGGCATTTAGTGCTTTGGATTTCAATAAAACAGAATAGAGAGCTCAGAAATAAGGTTGCACACCTACAACCACCTGATTTTTGACAAAGCTGACAAAAACAAGAAATGGGGAAAAGACTCCATATTTAATAAATATTGCTGAAATAACTCGCTAGCCATATGCAGAAGACTGAAGCTGGACCCCTTTCTTTCACTATAAACAAAAATCAATTCAAGATGAATAAAAGACTTAAATATAAAACCCAAAACTATAAAAACTCTAGAGGACAACTAGGTAATACCATCCTGGACATAGGAGCAGACAAAGATTTAATGACAAAGACCAAAAGCAATTGCAACAAAAGCAAAAATTCTCAAGTGGGATCTAATGAAACTTAAGAGCTTCTGCACACAGCAAAATATACTATCAACAGAGTAAACAGACAACCTATAGAATTGGAGAAAAATTCTGCAAACTATGCATCTGACAAAAGTGTAATATTCAGCATTATATAAGTAATTAAAATAAATTTACAAGAGAAAAACAAACAACTCCATTAAAAAGTGTGCAAAGGACATGAACAGATACTTTGCAAAAGAAGACATATATGAGGCCAAAAAGCATATTTAAAAAAGCTCAATATCACTGATCAATAGAGAAATGCAAATCAAAACCACAATGAAACACCATCTCACAGCAGTCAGAATGGTTATTATTAAAAGACAAAAAAGATGTGGCAAGGTTGTGGAGGAAAAGAATGCTTATACACTGTTGGTGGAAGTGTAAATTATTCAACTGTTGTTGAAAGCAGTATGGTGATTCCTCAAAGAGCTAAAAGTGCAATTACCATTAGACCCAGTAATCCCATTACTAGGTATATTGCCAGAGGAACATAAATTATTCTACCATAAAAACATAAGCATGTGAATGTTCATTGCAGCACTATTCACAATAGCAAAGACATGGAATCACCCTAAATGCCCATCAGTAACCAATTGAATAAAGAAAATGTGGTATGTATACACCATGGAATACTATGAAGCCATAAAAAAGGATGAGATTATGTCTTTTGAGGGAACATGGATGGAGTTAGAGGCTCTTATCCTTAGCCAACTAAGGCAGGAACAGAAAACTAAATACTGCGTGTTCTCACTTATAAGTGAAAGCTAAATGATGAGTATTTATAAATACAAAAAAGGAAGCAAAAAACGTTGGAGTCCACTTGAGGGTGGAGGGTGGGAGGAGGGAGAGAAAAAGAAAAGGTAACTATTGGGTGCTGGGCTTAATTTCTTGGTGATGAAATAATCTGTACAACAAACCCCTGTGACATGAGTTTGCTTATGTAACAAACCTTCACATGTATCCCCAAAACTAAAATAAAAGTTACAAAATGACTACAACCACTTTACAAGACATAGACAGTACAATAAGATATAAGTAGAAACAGGCTGGTTCCAGTTGCTCAGACCTGTAATCCTAGCACTTTGGGAGGCCACAGTGGGTAGAGTTCAAGACCAGCCTGGGCAACATGGTTATCTTCATATCCACAAAAAATACAAAACAATTAGCTGGGTGTGGTGGTGCATACCTGTAGTCCCAGCTACTTGGGAGGCTGAGGCAGGAGGATCACCTGGGCTCAGGAGTTTGAGGCTGCAGTGAGCTGAGATCACACCACTGCACTCCAGGCTGGGTAACAAAGTGAAATCCTGTCTAAAAAAAAAAAAAAAGATATAAATATATAAAATAGAAACAACAAAATGTTAAAAGGTAGGGGTGGTGGTGAAGTTAAAGCATAGAGTTTTTATTAGTTTTCATTTGGTTTATTTGTTTGTTTATAGAAACAGTGTTAAGTTTTTATCAGCTTAAAACAATGGGTTATAAGATAGTATTTGCAAGCCTCCTGCTAACCTGAAACCAAAAAATATACAATGAATAAACTAAAAATTATTAGCAAGAAACTAATACCACCAGAGAAAACTACCTTCACTAAAAAGAAGACAGGAAGAAAAAAAGGAAGAGAAGACCACAAAACAACCCAACAACAGATAACAAAGTGGCAAGAGTATGTCCTTACTTATCAATAATAACATTAAATATAAATGGAGTAAAATCTCCAATCAAAATACATAGACTGGCTGAATGGATTTAAAAAAAAAGACTGAATTATCTGTTGCCTTGAAGGAACAAACTGAAGAGATGGAAATAGATATTCCATATCAATTTAAATCAAAAATGACCAGGAGCAGCTATATTTATATTAGACAAAGCAGATTTTAAGACAAAAACTATACAAAGAGACAAAGTAGGTCACTATATAATGATACAAGTATTGATTCAGCAAATAACAATTTTATAGCTATAACTGCCTATATCAAAAAAGAAAAACTTCTAATAAATAACTTGAGGATGCATCTTAAATAATTAGAAATGCAAGAGCAAACTACACTCAAAATAAGAGAAAAAAATAAAGATCATCTCAAATAAATGATTTTTAAATGAAGAAAACAATACAAAGATCAATGAAATGAAAAGTTGTTTTTTTAAAGTTAAACAAAAATGACAAACCTTTAGCCAGACTAAGAAAAAAAAGAGACATTCAAATAAATAAAATCAGATGAAAAAAAGACATTACAATACTGAAGAAATTCAAATGATCATTAGTGGCTACTATGAGCAACTATATGCCAATAAACTGGAAAATCTAGAAGAAATGGATACATTCTGAGACACATACAATCTCCCAAGACTGAACCATGAAAAAATACAAAATCTGAACAGACCATAACAATTAACAAGATTGAAGCCATAACAAAAAGGCTCCCAGCAAAGGAAAGCCCTGAGCTCAATGGCTTTACTGCTAAATTCTACCAAACATTTACAGAAGAACCAATAGCAATCGTCCTCAAACTATACAAAAAAATAGAGGAGAAAATACTTTGAAACTCATTCTATGAGGCCGGTATTGCCCTGAGACCAAAACCAGACAAAGACACATCAAAAAAAGAAACTATAAGCCAATCTCTCTTATGAATACTGATCAAAAATCTCAACAAAATGATTCCAAAGTGAATTCAACAATAAGTTAAAAATATTTTTTGTCATGACCACGTGGGCTTTATCCCTGGGATGCAAGGATGATTCATGATATGCAAATCAATCAATGTGATATATCAAAATAATGAACGATAAACCATATAATCATTTTGATTGATGCTGAAAAAGCATTTGATATAATTCAACACAGTTTCATAATAAAAACTTTCAAAAACATGAGTATGAAAGGAACATACCCCAACATAATTAAATCCGTATGCTAGCCCACAGCTAGTATCATACTGAATGGGGAAAAGCAGAAAGCCTTTCCTCTAAGATCTGGAACACAGCAAGAATGACCATTAACCAATGGTATTCAACATAGTACTGAAAGTCCTAGCTAGAGCAATCAAACAAGAGAAAGAAATAAAAGGCATCCAAATTGAAAAGGAAAAAGTCAAATTATTCTTGTTTGCCAATGGTATGGTCTTATATGTAGAAAAACCTGAGGATTCCACAAGAAAACTATTGGAACTAATAAACTAATACAGTAACGTTGCAGGATACAAAATCAACATACAAAAATCAGCAGTATTTCTATATGTCAACAGTGCACAAAATGAATAATAAATTTAAAAAATAATCACATTTACAATAGCCACGCATAAACTTAATTACCTAGGAAGTAACTTAACCAAAGAGGTAAAAGATCTTTACAATGAAAACTATAGAACACTGATGAAAGATATTGAAGAGGACAACAAAAAATGGAAAGATATTTCATGTTCATGGATTAGAAGATTTAATAATGTTAAAATGTCCATACTAACCAAAACAATATGCAGATTTAATGCAATCCCTGTCAAAATACTCATAACATTCTTCACAGAAATAGGAAAAACCATCCTAACATTTATATGGAACCACAAAATACCCAGAATAGACAAAGCTACCCTAAGCAAAAGAACAAAACTAGAGGAATCACATTACCTGACATCAAATTATGCTACAGAGCTATAGTAATCAAAATAGCATGGTACTGGCATAAAAGTAGACACATTGGCCAATGTAACAGAATGGAGAACCCATAAAGAAATCCACATGCCAAAAATAAATTTATTTTTGATAAAGGTGCCAAGAATATACATTGGAGAAAAGACAGTCTCTTCAATAAATGGTACTGGGAAACTGCATACTCATCTACAGAGGAATGAAACTAGATATCTGTCTCTCACCACATACAAAAATAAAATCAAAATAAATTAAAGACTTAAATTTGAGACCTCAAACTATAAAACTACTGCAAGAAAACATTGGAGAAACTCTCCAGAACAGTAGTCTAAGCAAAGATTTCTTAAGTAATACCCCACAAGCACAGGCGATCAAAACAAAAACGGACAAATGGAATCACTTCAAGTTAAAATGCTTTTGCACAGCAAAGGAAACAATCAGAAAAGTGAAAAGACAACCTACAAAGTGGGAGAAAATATTTGCAAACTACCCATCTGACAAGGGATTAATAACCAGAATATATAAGGAGCTCAAAAAACTATAGCAAAAAAATCTCATAATCCAATTAAATAACCTGAAAAGTATTTGAGTAGACATTTCTCAAAAGGAGATACACAAATGGGAAATAGGTATATAAAAAGCTGGTCAACATTACTGATCATCAGAGAAATGCAACTAAAAACTACAATGAGGTATCATCTCACCACAGTTTAAATGGCTCTGAGTCAAAAGGCAGGCAATAGGCCAGGTTCGGTGGCTCACGCCTGTAATCCCAGCACTTTGGGAGGCCAACACAGGCAGATCATGAGGTCAGGAAATCCAGACCATCCTGGCTAACACAGTGAAACCCTGTCTCTACTAAAAATACAAAAAATTAGCCGGGAGTGGTGGCGGGCGCCTGTAGTCCCAGCTGCTTGGGAGGCTGAGGCAGGAAAATGGCGTGAACCCAGGAAGCAGAGCTTGCAGTGAGCAGAGATCGCGCCACTGCACTCCAGCCTGGGCGACAGAGCAACACTCCATCTCAAAAAAAAAAGAAAAAAAAAAAAAAAAAAAAAAAAAAAAAGAAAGAAAGAAAGAAAGAAAATAAAAAAAGGAAGGCAATAACAAATGCTGGCAAGGATGTGGAGAAAAGGGAACCCTCGAACACTGTTGATGAGAATGTAAATTAGTATAACCATTATGGAGAACAGTTTGGAGGTTCCTGAAAAAACTTAAAATAGAGCTACCATATGATCTGGCAATCCCACAGCTGGGTATATATCCAAAAGAAAGGAAATAATATATTGAAGGATATCGGCATCCCATGTTTGTTGCAGTACTGTTCACAACAGCCAAGATTTGGAAGAAACCTAAGTGTCTATCAACAGATGAATGGATAAAGAAAATGTGGTACTCATACAAAATGGAGTACTATTCAGCCACAAACAAGAATGAGATCATATTATTTGGCATAATGTGGATGGAACTGGAGGTCATTATGTTAAGTAAGATCAGCCAGACACAGAAAACAAACATCACATGTTCTCACTTATTTGTGTTATCCCAAAATCAAAACAATTGAACTCATAGACATACAGAATAGAAGGATGGTTACCAGAGACTTAGAAGGGTAGCTGGGGGTTTAGGGGTATGTGAGGATGGTTAACGGGTACAAAAAATAGTAAGAAAGAATGAATAATACCTAGTATTTGATAGCACAGCAGGATGACTATAGTCAATAATTCAAGTGTATATTTTAAAATAACTAAAGAAGTATAATTGGATCATTTGTAACACAAAGGATAAAAGCTTGAGGAAAGAAATAGTACATTTTCAATGATGCGATTATTATGCATTGCATGCCTTATCAAAATATCTCATGTACCCCACAAATATATACTCTCACTTTGTACCCACAAAATTAAATATTAAAATAAAAAAACCTATGTTCGTGACCATTCATTCATCTTTTCTCTCCCTTGAACTCCTGACAATTACTGATCTTTTAACTGTCTCTATAGTTTTTGCCTTTTCATGACATTTTCCAGAATGTCATTTAATTGCAATTATATAGTATGCAGCCTTTTCAGACTGGCTTCTCTCATTTAGCAAAGCACAAGTTGCATAGGTTCCTCTATTTTTTTATGGCTTGATATAATAACTCATTTGTTTTTATTGACTATCAGTATTTAATTTTATAGATGTATCTCATTTTGCTTGTGAATTTATTTAGTTATTTATTTTGAGACAGGGTCTCACTCTGTCACCCAGGCTGGAGTTCAGTGGCACAATCATGGCTTACTGCAGTCCCAACATTTTCTGGTTTGGGTGATCCTCCTACCTCAGTCTCCCAAGTAGTTGGGACTACAGGCATGTGCCACCACACCCAGATAATTTTTTATTTTTTGTAGAGATAGGGTTTCATCGTGTTGCCCAGTCTGGCCTTGAAGTCCTGGGCTCAAGCAATCTGCCTGCCTCAGCCTCCCAAAGTGCTGGAATTACAAGCATGAACCACCGTGCCCAGCCTGCTTCTGAATTTAATTAGCAAAGGATAACTTCACTGTTTCCAGTTTTGGCAATTGTGAATAAAACTGTTACAAATATTCACGTACAGGTTTTTGTGTGAACATGTTTTCAACTCATACAGGAAAATACCTAGGATTGTGATTCCTGGATCATTTAATAAGCCTATGTTTAGCTCTGTGAAAGCTGCCAAATTGTTTTCCAGAATGACTGTAACATTATACATTCCCACAAGCAATAAATGAGGGTTCCTGTTGTTTTGCACCATTGTCATCATTTTGCGTTGTCAGTGTTTTGAATTTTAGCCATTCTAAAATTAGTAGTTAATAGTTGTTTAGTGGTATATCATTGCTGTGTTAATTTGAATTTCCCTAATAATATATTTCATGAAGCATCATTTCATGTGCTTCTTTTTCATCTGTTTCTCTTCTTCGGTGAGGTCTCTGTTAAGATATTTTCTCCATTTTGTAAGTAGTATTTTTTTTTCTTACGTCGAGTTTAAATGTCAGTCTCTTATCAGATAATTGTTTTGTAAATATTTTCTCCCACTCTCTGGCTTGTTTTTATTTCCCTTAAGCATGTCTTTCATAGAGCAGAAGTTTAATTTTAATGAGGTCCAAATTATCAATTATTCATGGATCATGTTTTTGGTGTTACATATAAAATCTCATCGTCAAATTCAAGGTCACTTAGATATTCTCCTGTGTGATTTAGAATTTTATATTTTGTGAATTACACTAAAGTCTATGATCCATTTGAGCTTAATGTTTGTGAAAATATAAAGTTTGTGTGTAGATTCATTTTATCACATGTGGATCTCCAGTTGTTATAGCACTATTTGCTAAAAAAAACCTATCCTTTCTCTGTTTAATTGCCTTTGTTCTATAGTTAACTGAAGATCAGTTGACTATATTTGTGTGAACTTATTTCCGTGTACAGTATTCTATTCCCTTTATATATTTGTCTATTCTTTCACCCATACCATAAGACTTTGATTACTATAGCTTTATAGTATGTCTTGCAGTTAAAAAACGTCAGTCTTCCAACTTTGTTAGATTCTGATTGTTGATAGTCACAAAATAATTTGCTGGGACTTTGATTGAGATTGTTTTGTATCTACAGATCAAGTTGGGAAGAATTGGCATCTTAATAATGTTGAGTCTTCCTATTCATGAACATGGAATATCTCAACATCTATTTAGATCTTTCTTGATTTTTTTTTTTTTACTCAGAGTTTTGTGGTTTCCCCATCAATCTTATATTTTCTTAGACTTATAACTATTTCATTTTTCATGCTAACATAACCGGTGGTGTATTTTAAATTTCAAAACCCAATTGCTAACTCTTGATATATAGGAAAGTAATTTACTCGTGTATATGGACTTTTACCCTGCAAAGTTACTGTGGCCACTTGTTAGACGAATTTTGTTTTTATTTTTGAGTTTTCTATAGATAATCATGTCATCTGCGAAAAAAATTTTATTTCCTGTTTCACAATTGTATATCTTTAATTTTCTTTTGTCATTTATTACTTAGGACTTCAAGTGTAATGTTTAATAGAATTGGTGAAAAAGAACATCTTTGCCTTTTTTCTGATCTTAGGAGTAAAGCATCTAATATCTCACTACTAAGTATGTCAGCTTAGGTTTTTGATACATGTTCTTTATCAGGTTGAGGAAGTCTCCCTCTATTCTAATTTCCTGAGAATTATCACTTGAATGGATGTTGGATTTTCTCAATGCGTTTTCTGCATTTAGTAATTTATTAATGATTTTTACCTTTAGTTTGTTGATATGATGGATTACATTAATTGATTTTCAAATGTTGATTAATACATTTTTAAATGTACTTTCATATACTCAATGTAACATTTGAAGTCAAGGCATTGTTATGTGCATTTCCGTGGGCCAAAAAAAAAAATAATCAGATACAAACAGAAATGGGAAGGATATTTAGGAAGGAGAGAAATCTGGAGGAAAGCAGGCTTCTGCTCTTGGTGAATGCCCTGCTTTGGGACTGTTTCTTCCCTTATGTTGAATAAAGGTAGGCTTGTTTTTAATAGGCCAGTATAATTGTCTTTAGTCATTCAACACTCCCTTGAGAAATCCTACAGAATCATCTTTATAGTCCAAACTAATGGTGTGGGTCATTCAAAATCAGGGATGGTTTTTCCTAAGAAAAGAAAATTTGGTAATTGTATTGAATTTATGATGCCACACATATGCTTTACATTTTGCTAAAAACTGTGAGATATAAATGGATTAAAAAAAAACTAAGATCGCTATTTTCATGGAGCTGGCAGCCTATTTGGAAAGACAAAATTAAATAACCAGGAGGAGACGAGCTTTATACCTTGAAATGCTGAATCACATATTACATAAAATAAACATTTTAGGGGATCAGGAAACTGAAACCAGAGTAGAATGAAAAAGAGCAGAAATACTCTATGAGAAATGGGGATTTGACATAGGCTTAAAGAAATAGTAGATTTGGCATATGGCAAGAGAATCCCAAAATACTTGGAAAAAAATACAAAAAAAATACCCACATACAGGTGGGTATGACTCTTCTACACTTCTCCTAAAGCATTTTTCTTATGATTTCATAAATATCTTCATTTCATTGTGATTCACGCCTTGTATCACTTTCCCCTTTTGGATATCTCACTTACCAAGTTTCTAATCACTCCTTTTTTTTTTTTTGTCTTTGAACATGTTATCACCTGGCTCATGAACTTCCTCTCAGTCCTCACCTTCATCCTCATTCAGAGTGAATTCAACATAATGGTGCACATTTAATCCTTTTCTCATTTCCTGTGAGACTACTCGCCAGTGGCACTGGCAGCTGCAGCATTTACCCTGAGATAACTTTGCCAAGAAATATCTTACTTTATTACTATTTTTGCATTACTCTAGTATATTGACTTTGGAAACAAAAGACATCATTCTATTTATAAACATTCTGTCTTTAGTAGTGGTATTTCCATTTACAAAATACAGTAATTCTTGATTGCTGAAAATGTCAAATCCTAGAAAATATAGCATTATCACACGTGATGTTAATATTGTTCTCCAAATTTGTTGGCCGAAGATTCATTTGATGAATCCAATTTTTCTGAAATAGATGATTCTGATGATTCAGATGATTCTGACATTAGTTCTGTTCAGAAATAACTCCAAGAACAGTTTTTTATATTTTCATACTGAAAATTGGCCAGATTTTCTTCAGCCTCAAAAAGTGTGCTAATGTAAAATTAAATGAGCATTAGCAGTGAACTGCACTTTTTTTTTTTCTAACTGGGAAAAGGGTATCCAAAAGTATAGAATTTTGCTGTGGAACCATCAATAATGTCTTCCTCTTCCAACCCATGTCAGTCACAAACTCTATGGTCACAATCTCCTAAGCTATAAACAAATAACATCTTCTGTCTGTCCACAGACTTTCACCTTCCCACTCTGTTGCTGAAGTGTCCCTGGTGCAACTGCTCTTTAAGTTCATAACCACCTCTCCATTCACTGTTTCACTTTATGCAGGGCCTCTCTTAGATTAACCCATGGAGCTTGGGTTCCATGGCCCATTGTCACTGTTATGTTCCTGAAAGTCCTGAGTCCTTTGTAATCACCCACCTTCCCTCTACTTATGTCAGAACAGCTTTGCTTTGATTAAAAAAATTACAAAACCAAAGAGATTCTTAGTCACCAAAAATTTAAAATTATACCATCTTTTAGTATGTCCAGAAAATTGCTAGGGAAAGTCAGACTAAACTCTATTTGTAGAGGGTTTGAGGCAGGCTTGCCCTTATATACTTTCGGGTCTTAGAGACTAAAGTACAGACAGAAATCCACAGACCCCAGGTCTAAATATCTATGTTATAAATTCAGCTAACATACTAAATAAAATGTGGTATATCCTCTGCCTTAACAAATATATTTCTTCATAATGACCTGGAAGGCCAGGTTTCAATTTAGTATTTTTAGACTCCTTAGAATTCTGTGAGAACTGGCAAAATAGAGAAAACAAACAACAATAAACCAGCTGATGGCTTGCCCTGTTCTATTCTCAACAGCAGCTTCCTTCTACATGATAAGGGTCACCGGAGTCAGCATATCCATCTACCATGTTTATAACAATGCTCCCTGGTGTCTCCAGGGCCTGAAGGTACACAAGATCAGAGCTCAGTCTGATCAAAGGAGGGTGGACATGGAGAAGGGTCACAAACAGCCCCATGAGGCAGGCTTAGACTATTTTGGCAGGGAGTTCTCAAATGCCAGGTATCCAAAAGGTGGTTTAGATCCAAAAGTCAAGTTGGAATTTCAGTGTGCAGTTTTCCTTTACCACATGGCTAAAGAGTGTGCCTGCCCAGCAAAGGACCAGAGTGAGGATATCTAATGCATTCAGGTGAAGGTAGAGGCCCTCTTGCCAGGGTCTAAGGACAACAGTGACTTTAGAAACCTCCAAGGAAACAGCTCATCAAGTAGACATAATGAGCTAAGCCAGTGAGAAAGCTGTTGTTGTTGAAAGATCACAAACTGTTGTTTTATTTTTTCAAACTTATTTTAAATTCAGGTGTACATGTGCAGTATGTACAGGTTTGTTACATAGGTAAACACGTGCCATGGTAGTTTGCTGTACAGATCATCCCATCACCCAGCTATTAAGCCCAGCATCCACTGGCCGTTCTTCCTGATCCACTCCCTCCTCCCACACTCCAACAGGCCCCAGTGTGTGTTGTTCCCCACCATGTGTCCATATGTTGTCATCATTTAGCTCCCATTTATAAGTGAGAATATGTGGTATTTGGTTTTCTGTTCCTGTGTTAGTTTGCTAAGGATAATGGCCTCCAGCTCCATCTATGTCCCTGCAAAGAACATGATCTTGTTCCTTTTTATAGCTGCATAGTATTCCACAGTGTCTCTGTACCACATTTTCTTTATCCAGTCTGTCACTGATGGGCATTTAGGTTGGTTCCATGGCCTTTGCTATTGTTAATAGTGCTGCAATGAACATACATATGCATGTGTCTTTATAATAGAACTATTTATAATCCTTTGGGTATATACTCAGTAATGGCATTTCTGCCTCTAGGTCTTTAAGGAATCACCACACTGTCTTCCACAATGGTTGAACTAATTTACACTCTCACCAACAGTGAAAAAGCATAACTTTTTCTCCACAACCTCACCAGCATCTGTTGTTTTTTGACTTTGTTAATAGCCATTATGACTGGTGTGGGATGGTACCTCATGGTGGCTTTGATTTGAATTTCTTTAATGGTAAGTGATGCTGAGGTTTTTTTAAATGTTTGTTTGGCTGCATATATGTCTTCTTTTGAGAAGTGTCTGTTCATTTCCTTTGCCCACTTTTTAATGGGGTTGTTTTATTCATGTAAATTTGCTTAAATTCCTTATAGATGTAGGATTTTAGATCTTTTTCAGATGCATAGATTGCATAAATATTCTCCCATTCTGTAGGTTGTCTGTTTACTCTGTTGATACTTTATTTTGCTATGCAGAAGCTCTTCAGTTTAATCAGATCCCATTTGTCAATTTTTGCTTTTGTTGCATTTGCTTTTGGTGCCTTCATCATAAAATCTTTGCCTCTGTCTATGTCCTGAATGGTATTGTCTAGGTTTTCTTTCAGGGTTTTTATAGTTTTGACTTTTAAATTAAAGTCTTTAATCCATCTTGAGTTGATTTTTGTATATGGTGTAAGGAAGGGGTCCAGTTTCAATGTTCTGCATATGGCTAGCCACTCCTCTCAGCACCATTTCTTAAATAGGGAATCCTTTCCCCATTGCTTGTTTTTGTCAGTTTTGTTGTACATCAGATAGTTGTAAGTGTGCAGTCTTATTCCTGGGTTCTCTCTTCTGTTCCATTCATTTAGTTGTCTGTTCCTTTACCGTACTATGCTGCTTTGGTTACTGTAGCCTTGTAGTATAGTGTGAAGTCAGGTAGCATGATGCCTCTAGCTTTGTTCTTTTTGCTTAGGGTTACCTTGGCTATCCGGGCTCTTTTTTGGTTCCATATGAATTTTAAAATAGTTTTTTCTAATGGTGCGAAGAATGCCAATGGTAGTTAATGGGAATAGCATTGAATCTATAAATTGCTTTGGGCAATATGGCCATTTTCACGATATTAACTCTTCCTATCCATGAGCATGGAATGTTTTTCCATTTGTTTGTGTCATCTCTGATAGCTGCACTCCTAGGTATTTTATTCTGTCTGTGGCAATCATAAATTGGAGTTCATTCATGATTTGGCTCTTGGCTTACCTGTTGTAAGTGTGTAGGTATGCTAGCTTTTTTTTGCACAATGACTTTGTATTCTGAGACATTGCTGAAGTTGCTTATCAGCTGAAGAAGCTTTTGGGCTGAGTTGGTGGGGTTTTCTAGATATAAGATCATGTCATCTGCAAACAAGGATAGTTTGACTTTCTCTCTTCCTGTTTGAATACCTTTATTTCTTTCTCTTGCCTGATTGCCCTTGCCAGAACTTGCAATACTATGTTGAATAGGATTGGTGAGAGAGGACAACCTCGTCTTTTGCCGGTCAAGGAGAATGCTTCTAGCTTTTGCCCATTCAGTATGATATTGGCTGTGGGTTTGTCTTGCATGGCTGTTACTATTTGGAGATATTTTCCTTCAGTATCTAGTTTATTGAGAGTTTTTAACATCCAGGGATGTTGAATTTTATCAAAGGCTTTTTCTGCGTCTATTGAGATAATCATGTGCTTTTTTCTTTTGTTCTGTTTATTTGAGGAAACACCTTTATGGATTTGCATATGTTGAGCCAAACTTGCATCCTGGGGATGAAGCCTACTTGATAGTGGTAGGTAAGCTTTTTGATGTACTTCTGGGATTGGTTTACCAGTATTTTGTTGAAGATTTTTTACGTCCATGTTCACCAAGGATATTGGGCTGAAGTTTTCTTTTTTTGTTGTATCTCTACCAGGTTTTGGTATCAGGATGATGCTGGCCTCATAGAATGTGTTAAGAAGAAGGCCCTCCTTTTCAATTTTTTGGAAGAGTTTCAGCAGGAATGGTACCAGCCCCTCTTTGTACCTCTGGTAGAATTCAGATCACAGATTGTTAATGCATGTGTTACAGGAATACAGTGTGAAGCCTGATACATCCAGTTCTCATCTATTCCAGAGAAAGGAAAAGATTTTACACCCAATCTGAAATTTTCAGAAGCCTCTGCAAGATAGGGACAGAAGAAGCCATGTTTTGGGACCTTACTTACACAGTACTAACTCAAGATGAGAGGGCAAGTAATCATCAGATCTCTCTAGTTTCTTCTATCACAGGGTCCTTGCAGTTTTGGTAAATGGGGGCTCTACTATATCCATGGAAATAGATGGAGAAAGACAATGGCAGTGAGGCCCATTGAGAGACCACAGTGAGTAGCAGACCAATCAGAGTCCCAGAGGGCAGTAACGGCAACTACATCAAAAGAAACTTAGAAGCACTTGGGAAACATTCCAGGGACCTCCCTGTACTATTGTGGGGCAGTGCTAGTTCTTGCAGGGATTTGGACTTTCAGGAAGCAGGTTATACAATAGAGCAGAAGCCAGGGGACATTTACAATTACTTCTTAGTTGTTTTCAGTCATGAAAGTGGCTCTAGGATCTAATGGTTTATTACCAGAGTTATATAAGGCTGTACACGTTTGGGATAGGGAGAGTAAACAGATGAAGTTAATTGGGTAGAGTATTACCATAGACAATAGTAGTGCTAGCTAAGTTTGCTCAGGAAAAAGGAGTCTCAGACTTTTCGTAATGTCTACCATGTTCCTGGCATTTTACATTTGAAGTTTAATTCTGAAAAAATCCAGTGAAATAGGTGTTATGTTTATAAGATTCTGAGGCTCATTTAGGTCAGAAATTGTTCAAAGATACATGGTAGACAGAGATATGGTCCCATAGCAATGCTAGTCTCTTCTGCTTTGCTGCTTTCTGTAATTACCAAAAATCTCTTGCTTAAGAAGAGTCTCCTGGCATCTTGGCAGTGAAGGTTATCTCATAAAGAAATGCTTGTACTCAATGTAAATAGCATCACTTTTATGACCTTGGCTGTCTCTCCTGTTTCATAGTTCTAGGTATTAAATTATATTTTATTATGTGTATATCTAAAATAATATTGCTGTTCTGGGTAGAATATTAGAAGTTACCACAAAGGAGACTTGTGTATTAAATTGGTATGCCAAATCTATAAGAGACAATCATTTCCTTGTGAATATTTAATAAGTAATATTTGCGGGTAAAATAGAATCCAAGGGGAATATATATATATGTATATGAAATTTTCAGAACACCATTTACATCCACTTTTGATGTCCTCTCTACTTTTCTCTATTGAACCACTTTTTCGTTTGTGCTACCCTTTCTCCAAATTTCATATTCAGAATTTGTTGCTTTTCAGACCTCCACAGGATAAAATACGAAGCTGGCTCTCTCGGCCATTGCTGGTGGACAAAAATCTGGGTGATGATGGAAAATAATCATTTCAATTGCTTCAAATAATTTACATGCTTTAGAGCGGTATGTATAAAAAACTCTGGCAGCTGATTGAATTGTGGATTTTTGATGCCAATTTTATGAGGCTATGCAAACCCAATGCTAGTTTAGCAAAGGTTACCACCAACAGAGTGACTGCAATATGCCCATAGGTGAGGAGTAACAAGGATTATACAGAGCAACTTGGTCATGAAATCTTTATTTATGATCACATTCAGAAAGCCATGAACCTTTCCCACTTGCTATCATATTTTAATTCACTGCCACGCTTGTGAGCACACATATAAATCAGTGTGCATCTTTAAAAGATAAGTCTCACACCAAATTCAGAGTGAACTAGTGCATCCTAGTTTGCAGAATCTATGTGACTTGACTACAAAGAGCATTTTTGATTAATCAGAACTAAGATTTTAATAAAGAAACAGCAGGTAGGCTAACCACAAAATTAAAACTCCCAACTGTCTCAGAGTAATAAAGTCATAAATATAAAAGTGCTCAAAATACCTCATTTGCATCTTTGAATAATGTCCTTGTTTAACAAGGATGGGACACTGGGTTGACCAGCAGAGGGCAGGTTCCTGTAGATGTTGGCACTTCCTGGTTTAGTCTTGTTGCTGTTTCTTCCTCAATCTTTCACTGTGTAATGGAGCAAGGCCTGTGTGGTAATTAATTGCCATCTGTGGTGTGTTTTTATCAGTGATTTTTACACCCGATTGCTCAATTGCAATATCATATCAGCTGCATTTCAACACAACCTGGAGAACACAAATGTGCCTTTGGTTTCCTAATCGTGTTTGGTCAATTTAAGAATTCTTTTTTATTTTTTGTCCCCAGAAATGATGTCAGTTTATCTCTTTGACAGTAGTACAGCCTCCCTGTTAATAGTCAAAATTCTGTGGCTTTTTGAACAAGGTAGATCAAGGTTTGAAATCAGGCTCTGCTGTCTAGTGGCTGTGTGACCTTATACTGATTTTTAAAATTACTTGGTTACTTAAAGTGCATCTATTTTCTTAGAGTAAAATATAAATAATATTATATCTCCAGGCCATATTGAGGTTTAATGGTCTTAATAATTCATGAAATATGTACTTGAAGATTTTCAGCTTACACATGTGTTCAGAACATAGCCCCCCAATAAATTTACTTCAGGAATTTCTGAGCACCATAACCATGAGCTACACTAACTACCTGTATGCAAACAATTGAATCAAGAATACCATCTGCTGTCTTAGTGGTTGTAAACATGGCACAGAAATAATAGCAAGTACATTTCATAGTTCATAAAATGTTTTTAAGTGCATTATTTTTCTTCAACTTTTTAGCTAGGCAGGGCAGATATTAGGGTCCTCATTTTACTATGAGGAAACCGAGCCTCAGGAGATTATGCAAGTTGTCCAATACTGCATGGAGGGTTGATGATAGATGTGGTGCTTGACTATGTTCACTCGGATGCCCAGTCCAGGGCATTTTCAACCCACAATCTGGTACCCCTCAAGAGTCAAAGCACCTTCCTTTCTCAGTCTCAGCCTCTACATCTGCAACAAAGAGAACTAGGCCCAATTACCTCCTAGTTCCTTTCCAGCTCTGACATTCCAAGACGTCCTAGGATGATTTTCATGAAAGGAATGGTTCTGACATCAGTAGAGAATTACCACTATAATCATAATATTTGTATCATCCTTATGGAATGAGGCTTTATGGCTTAGAAATATTGATACAGCTTCTTGGAGGAAACAGAGGGGGTGAGGAAAAGGATAGTAAGGCCCTACTGGTCCCAAGGCAAGTTAATTATTAGATATTTAAAAATTTAATTGTTTCATTTTCCTTTTCTAACACCTATTAAACATCACCTAGCCTCATTCTAAATACCACCCCATAAAACAGTACACCATAATACAATTCTATCAAACTTCTTTCAAAACCAGTAAACTACAACACATCAAATAAATGTCCCGTCTCTCACTGACATTCAAACTCCACACCTTAAAACCAAGCCAAACAACTCCAAACAACAGAAGTAATCATAGTAACAACAATAATAAAAATAAATATGTATATACTTTCTCTGTACCAAAACTGTGTTTAGTGCTTTAAAGGCATAAATTCACATATGTTTTTTGACCTTTTGAGGTAGATACTATCCATGCTATTCAGCCAAGTAACTTGTTAAAGGCCTCCTCTTTATCTCATTTGCAGCATTTTTTGTCCATGCTATCATCATTTATTTGCTATTTAATAGTTTTTTACAGGTCTTTTTCTACTCTTAGTTGCGAATATATCACTCTACAAAGCATTTGAACTGATCTTTTAAAACACAAATATAACCACGACATTCTCATGTTTAAATCGTTTATGAGATTTTCATTGCACTTAGAATGAAGGTTAACCTCCTTTCCATGCCTAAAAGGCATATCTGGTCATGATCTACCTTTGTAATTTCATATAATCTCATGCCCCTTCCTTTTTCTGTTATCATCCTCCAACCACTTTAAATTCTCTCAGTGACTTGGCTAAACCAGGAATCTTAGTCCACGGCTTTTCCCATGAGGTTCTCTGACTGGAATGCTTTCTTTCCTACTCTTTTGTTATTCCAATGCACATCTCAGAATGTCATTTCTTCAGAAAGCCTTTACTGGACTACCTAATTTCAGGTAGGATACACTTAACTCTTGGCTCCATGCCCTGCTCTTGAATTATACTTAATATAGTTGGTAGTGAGAGTTATGTGCATATTTACTATTGTGTGTGTTTTCATGGAGGAAGGGTCCATGTCTGTTTATCATTACAGGGCTTTTTGCAGAAAGCAGAAATGAATTAAATAGCAAAGCCAAAGACTGAACTTTTTCATTCTTATTAAACATCCTTATTCTTTTCACCCCAATTTCTTCAACCAAAAATGACAAGACATTTAAACAAATGATTTCTTAGATAAAAATAAAATTGAAAGAACATATAAAGCCATAATTTAAACAAAAAGAAATAAAAACTGCTCAAGGATAATAAAAGAATAAGTAGGGGTTATATGGATGATCTCCATTTTTATGATGTAAGAATTTCACTCTCATTTTATCTTTAAAAACAATACTAGTTTACATGATGTTAACTTTCAGGTATTCTGGATCTAACTAAAAAAGAAATGATAAGAAAATTACTGGGGAAAGGGAGCTAATATCCATCCAAGAATTAGGAAGGTACTCAGGGATGAAATTGAAAAACTACTGGGCCCAACATTTAATAGGAAAGGCCATATGATGTAAGTCATAAAGTCATAATTATATGGATGAGGTGAATAGTGTCTGGTTTACCAAACCCCGGAATAACAGATCTGGTAGACACCATCCCCAACCCAGAGCTTTGAAACTTGAAAGAATTACACATTACACTTAAGGAAAATAAAGTAACAAAGTTAAAAATAAAGATACATTTTAGAGATTTTATATAAACTCCTGGATAATAGTAAGATGGTATATTAAGGGGAATGAGGCCATTAGGGATCTATCATTTAGCTTTTTAACCAGATGCCTTGGGCGAAGACAGGTTTGTCAGGAAACCATCTGTTCATGTCATACATTCAGTACATATTTGATACAACATTTTAATTTATTACCTACCAGTGCATAGTATTTTAGTCCACATTTTGGTGTCAACTACTTTTTTCTTATTTTACTGAAATTGCAGAGCCATCTTTCATTTAAGTAGCGCCAATCTACCATTTATTAAATGATTGCAGGATTAAATGGTCCTCTGGGGTGTATTACCTCCCCCCTAACTTTACCTTTTAGTCTATCTGAGCTGTCATCCCAGGAAAATGATTTCCTACTCCCAGCCCTAGTGAGAAACCACTAGACCTGTTCTTCCAAAGGCTTTGTTCTTACCTTACATCATTTATTCATTTGTTTATCAATAAATATTTATGAAACACCTACTACAAACATCCTAGGTGCTAGAGAAATAAAATGGAAAATATAGGAACATGATTTCTCATCTTGCAGTGCATGCAGGAAAAAGAAAAAAAATGGGTGATTACAGTACAACCTGTAAAGTGCTACAAGAGAGATGTGCAAGAAATGAGAAAATTGAGAATGGAAAGTCTTATAGAGAAAATGACATTTGAGTTGAATCTTAACAGGATAAGTTAATAGGGCAACCCTTGGGAAGTGGAAGGCAACACTTACAGAAAAGGAGAGAGGCATGTTAGAACATAATATGCTTAAAAAATGAAATTTATTTATGTGAAGAAATACCTGGAGAAAGACGTAGGTATCAAGAAGAAGTAATGTTTAGAATTTAAAACTCTGTTCTGGAGTGATTTGGGAACACTGAGAGAAATGGTATTGGATTTTGAGAGAGATAAGGAAGCTAGGCAAACTTCCTGATCTCAAACCTATTCAGCTACATGGATTATAGTGACATACTCTGAGATGGGAAGAACAGGGGGTGAAACAGTTGTGTGTGTGTGTTTGTGTATGTATTAGAGAGGGAGAAGGGAGATGGTGTAAGATAATGGGTTCATCTTTGGACATGTTAATTTTGAGGTACCTTTGGGCTGTTCAGGCAGAGATGTACAAGAGGTAACGTGATCACACTCATGAAGATGAAGACCAGGCTTTTGTTGGAGATAATGACAACGACAAAATCATGCAATGGGGGAAGAACAGAAGGTGAAACAGTTGTGTGTGTGTGTTTGTGTATGTATTAGAGAGGGAGAAGGGAGATGGTGTAAGATAATGGGTTCATCTTTGGACATGTTAATTTTGAGGTACCTTTGGGCTGTTCAGGCAGAGATGTACAAGAGGTAACGTGATCACACTCATGAAAATGAAGACCAGGCTTTTGTTGGAGATAATGACAACGACAAAATCATGCAATGGGAGTGAAAGCCATGCCATGGGTACGAATGTGCAGAAAGAACATAAGGAATGGCAGAAAAAAATGGTGTCATTTAATTAGAAGTTACAAAATGATATGACTTCCTTAGAGGGAGGCTATTTAATTCTGCTACAATGGTTTCAGTTTAGCAAATGGGAAAATGTGAGCACATATCAGTCCTTCCTTCAATGAATGACTACTTACTGTTTGCCAGGCACCCAAAAAAAGAACAGGGCAGATTTATACAAAAGTTATGCAAGTTATTTTTTAAGCAAAATTAAGTCTAACTGAGATCCAAAGTGTGTTGAATTCTAATTGCCATCTCCTAAAAGCCAGAAAAAATAATCTTCTAGTTCCATGTTGCAATATTAGGAAGGGATATATAAGCAAGTATGACATTACATCCTTGGAAAAGCTGCATGAGTATGGAGTAGTTCTTTGCTTCTAATAATGAGAAGGGCAAGGTAGAAGTGGGAGAACTCTGTAAGACTGCTCAGAGGATATAAGTTTTGCCTTTTATATCTAGAAAGCTTGAAATATGCATTAATATCTGTCTCTGTAGCATAACTAGTGAAAGTAATTGAACCAGAAGCATAGCAGCTGCCAAACAATGGTCTAAAAGTAGCTGCAATATTGCATTCTACCAAAGGCAGGTGCCTGTATTTGGGAGTATCCTTCCTTGGGACCATAGAAGGATATGACTCCAGGAAATTGGTCATTTCTTCCTTCTCTGGCTATAGCTTCTTATTAGATAGAGATATAAATAGCTAAAGAAATAGATGATAGGTAGACAGGTAGCTAAGCAGAGACACAGACATATACTTAACGTGAAGGAGCCAAGGATGGAGGAGGCTTGGCATAAGGCTGCTGCCCTTTACCCCCTTGCCCTAATCCCAAACATCTTCTGGGGCTTTTAATATCTGATTTTTTTTTATACCTAAGCATATTCAAACGATTAGATTTTTCACTGATTATTCTAAAAAGTAACCCAAGTAGAGATAAGCTTGGATGAGTCAGAAGAATCTGAATGAATGTAAAAGTAAGAAGTTATCTGGTTCAAGAATCATTAGAAACAATTGTCTTTTCATCAAAATAGACCCATGGAGGCCTGGTGTGGTAGCTCATGCCTATAATCCCAGCACTTTGGAAGGCCAAGGCAGGTGGATCACCTGAGGTCAGGAGTTAGAGACCAACCTGGCTAACATGGTGAAACCCTGTCTCTACTAAAAATACAAACTTAGCTGGGCTTGGTGGTGCATGCCTGTAATCTCAGCTACTCAGGAGGCTGAGGCAGGAGAATTGCTTGAAACCAGCAGGCGGAGGTTGCAGCGAGCCAGGATAGCACCATTGCACTCCAGCCTGGGCAACAAGAGCAAAACTCCATCTCAAATAAATAAATAAATAAAATAGACTCATGGAGCCCCTCAGTTTTTGAAAGCTTGAATATAGCATGGAAGTAGATTGGGGAGTTAACCAAAGACTTTAAATTCTGATTACTTGAAAAATAATTAAAATTGATTTTTAATAAATATTTTATTGTGCTGGGATTTTAGTCATATTTCAGGACCTCCTCATAACCATTTTTTGAATTAAATTGTGCCTGTGACAGAGTTCTGTGTGCTTATTTCCCTAATAAATATCAAAGCCTTCTCATGCTTTTTATTTCTTATTAACTCTATTAAAGTTAAGCTATAAAGTACATGTTATCAGCTGGCCATTAAGGGACTAAAATTTTTTAAATAGAGAGAGAAATTGACAATATGCCTTTATATGCACATAGCTTAGCTTGTTGAAGAAAATAGGCAAATACATTTACTGTCTGTTTCAGTGGCAGAAAAAAAATAATTTAGCATTATTGTCCACTATATTTTAGCAAATATCATGGAAAAGTAACACTCTGAGAATCAGAAGAGCTATGTTCTCACACAGACCTTTTTATAGCTATCACTGTCATATTAATAAACTATGCCCTCATTGCATCTCCATTTTCTCATTTCAGAAGTGAAATAATTAGACTTTCTCTTTAATATTTTGTGAGTCTACGAAATAGTGTGGATTCAAAGTACCAAGCAAACCTTGGCAGGAGAGAGGGGTGTTATCCCAGGCTCAGGCGGATCCATGCCCACTTGCTACAAAAGATGATGAAACATGCTGGGGTCAGTAACTTTTCTGTGCCTGGTTGCAGGGATATTCGTATGGATCTCAGAAGCCAAAAGCTGGAAACTTTTCCCAGTTCAAGTAAGGCTTCCAGGTGAGCAGATTCTCTTCTGTAGACCGCCTTTAGTTATCTACTCTGAAACTAGCGGAAGCAAAGACTTCAATCAGATACACCTGGTGACCTGGTGCCACTGCTCATTACACAATTAAGTCTCTAAACAGCATTCCAGTCACAGTGAAATCCGGATTGCCATTGTTGGTGCATCCGCTGGCTATCTGTGTGTTGAATAAATATTGTACTTCTTATGACTCAAGCTTGCTGAGATGCTCCTAATTCTTTTATAGCATGAGGGTTCCCAACCAGGAACAATGTCCTGGGAAAGGGTGGCAAGCGCCAATGCACACCGTTTCACACACCTGTTTTTGTTTTCATAAATTTTCAATTACTTTTCCTTCTAGCTTAAACAAAGTAGGACATTATCTTTCCCCTCCAGGTGTTACATAGGCCATTCTAATGTGAATCAGCTAAAATACCAGAATAGGTCAAGTCTTTCGCTTTTAACCTCGCTAGTGAGCCTAGTTTAACAGGAGCCTTTAAGGCTTGCTGAGTAACACTGTCTTCTAGCCTCTGAGCAAGAAACCAGGAGAGTTAATAATGATCACAGTTGAGAATTCATTAAGCTGCTCTAATAGAAGTCTGGGGATGGGGGCAGGGTGGTTAGGCCCCTAAATTTGACCTGATTGGGCCTGGAGTCTGGCATGGAAAGACAACACTTTGTGAAACATCTAAGAGCTACGTGCTTAAACATTTTATTTATCCTAATACCATCTCTCTAAGATATAAATTATTATCACCACTTTACAGATGGCTCAGAAAGGTTAAGTAATTTGCCCAAGGTCACACATCTAAAAGTAGAAGAGTTATGATTAGAATGCAGATCTGTCTGTTTCCTTTCTTGTTTCTTAGTCTGTTGGGGAAGAAAGTGGAGGCTTAGGGAAGTGTAAAGCAACATGAAGAATAATTTGGGGAATCAAATTCCCCTGGTAGCAAGAAGCTGACTACAGCCTGATGTCACAGGGTGTGAGGCAGGAGCAGTGAGTGAGCCTGAATGAATTACAAGTAAGGAGGGTAGGCTGGGAGGGAAACACCCGGAGTTCCGGCTTTGCAGATAATTATCTGGGGCCTCAAGGATCTTTACAGAGAAGGCTCAACTTATAATTTACTAGCAATCAAGACCCTCCAAGGACCCTGTTCATGTTAGGGTTCCAACTTTACTACTCATTGCCAATCCTAACATTCCCCACATTATAGGCAAAGAGCATGAAGAAGTGTGCCTCTTTGCTGAACTTGCCATACCAGAGGGTTCTCCCTAGGCTCTGCAGATTTGCCCCTTCTCATGCACCTATTCCTTCATCAAAGCCCAGATCAAGTGTCTATAACTTCTGAGTCCCTCAGTTGAAAGTGAATCTCTGGCTGAACTCTCTTAACACATTTATCAAGTAATAACCACACGGTAGTTTGCATACAATCCTTGTATTCCCTGTTAGAGTCTCCGGTTCCTAAAGGTTAGAGCAAGAAATATGGTAGATAAAGTACATATTTTTGGTTTGAAAATCTTTCCTTCCCCCTACCCCAATGTCCTGCACAAAGTCAATGCTCAGAAAATATGGGTGAAATGAAAGAGCTAACTCCCATCACTGTGTTTCCTTTTCTTTTCTTTGGTAGAAACCACTGATTGCCCATTGAGCAAGTCTTTCTTTATTAAGCACCAACTCTGTAGATAGTTCTGTGTTGGACCAGGTAATCTAAAGCTTTTTCTGTCATGCTAAGATACCATGTTACCCTCCTTTGAGGGAAAACATGAATAGGTATGGAGAAGGGAAGTAACATAATTAGACTTGTTTTTCAGAAAGATATTTCTTGATGCAATGTTAAGCATTGAATGGCAGGAGTCAAGCAGACAGGAGCCAGAACAGAGGATGTTGGCGCCATGTAGGCAGGAGATGACAGTGGTTTAAATCCATCTTTACAACGGAGAACAGGACTCATGGCATAATATAACTGTGGGACTTCATAGCCCCTTTACAGCCCAGTGGCAGAAAAAGATTAATTTAGGATTAATTTAGCATTATTGTCTACTATATTTTAGCAAATATCATAAAATGATTACATTATCTGTAATCATTTACAGATAATGTTTAGTATCAGTCCCTCCTTTCCACTCCATGGAGTTTTACTTTTGTTCTTTGTAGATTTGTCAAACATAATAGAAAACATATTACTAAGAGAGAAAAAAAAACACATATTACTTTATGGAATAGATTATTTATAGCATTAAGCAGAAATGAATTGAATTCCTGAATGTGATGGTTTCAAAACACAGTCATGAAATAGCCATGCACCGTACCTATTTTGCTAATGCTGCTTACCATAGATGCCTATCCATCAGACTATAGCTAGAAAAGGGAATATAGAACCGGACCAGGTTATATGTATATATATAATCTAAATATATAGATTCATCATCCCTGACTCTGAAACTTACCCATCTTTGTTTGGGTGAACTTTATAGTCTACACAAATGAATAAGTTTCACCAAGATGACCTCTGACTACTCACTCATGGGCAACTCTGAGCATGAAAAATAGGAGTGTTTTCTTCAGTATTGTTCATGCTTATTGAAATAGGAGACTGGATCTGACCAGTATCAGTTTAACCAGCGAGGAAGAATACTCCCTCCATACCTGCCTCTAGATGTCTAGGACCAGACAACCCCATTCCAAGATGGTGACAATGCCCCAGAAAGCTGAAGGAGGATTTGCCCACTAGGGGAACAGATGGGAACTGAACAATGATGAAATATTTTTAAGCTATCAACCTTCTGGATGATCTACAGGCAGTGTGGTATCTGTAAAGATTACTGGGAGTCCTCATATCCGCAAAGGAACAACCAACTTCTGTCCTAAATCGAGGCAGTATATATTCCACCTTTCAACTGGATAATATGGGAAGGAAGACTCTCAGAGACAAACAATGAGAGTTTCTAGTGCATCCTTCGTAGGATATGGTGTATATATACAAGGAATCCTTTATATACAGACACACACGACATGCAGATTTTACCCCCTACAGTTCTAACATGCATGCATATAGGTCTTTACTTTTTTTTTTAACTTACATTTATCTTGAGGAATGTTTCCTATCAGCATACAAAGAACTTCCTCATTTTCTGGCATTAGAGCTGCATATTATTTCACATGTAGCCATTAAACAAGACACCTGGTGATATATGTTTAGATTTTGGCTAATTAGAGTTTAACAAATTATTGTAAATATGCTGTGATATATATACAATTTTTTGTATTTGTGGGAGTGTCCATTTCTGATAAAATCTCCAGCATAGTGGTTATTAGATGCTGTGTTCTCCAACAATCTGAACATTTTTAATAGAAAGTGGTATCTTAGTGACCTTTTAAAATTCAAAAATTCATATTTATCTTGTTATTAGAGACTAAACAGTATTTTGCATGTCAAAGGCAATTGGCATTACTTTTACCATTCATCTCCTTTATTGATTTTATTAACTTGTTGTTCTTTATACATAAGAGCAATTAGAACTTTGTGAGTTTTATTGCAAATATTTTGCACATTTTTAAAAATACGGTTTTGGCTTCATATATTGTATTTCTTTCCCTAAAGACATTTTTAACATGTTTGTTTTCATGTTATTAATCTTTTATGGCTTCTAGATTTGGGACCATACTTTCTAATTTTTTTACCGTATTTTCACCACACTATATTAAAATTTCGTTTTTCTTTCCAGATAGACAAAAACTATAATTTTTTGTGCCATACTTTGAATATCCTTCCCATTCAAAGATATTTTGTAAGTCCCCATTGTTCTACTGTTTTATTTTCCACTCCTGTTATGTTTTTTCCATTTAAATATTTTATCTAACTGCAATTTATTTTCCTCATAACATATGAGATATAAATTCAATTTCATTATTTTTCCAGGTAGCTACCTAGTTTTACCAATACAATTAATTAAATATATTTTTCTCAGTGATTTGAAATTCAATCTATATCACACACTACATTCCCAGGGAATTTTTAGGCATTTCTATCCTTTTTCTTTCATTGTTTGTCTATTCATGTGCCAGTGCCACAATGTTTTGTTGGCTTTACAGTACGTATCAGTATCTGCTTGAGTTTGTTCTTACTAATTGCATGAGATCTCAGAATTTTCAGGATTATACTTGATTTTTTATTTTTCAATGTGGACTTCAATGTTTGCTTTTATGGTTACACAATGGTGAAAGCAAAATATATAAATAATATTTGAGGTCTATAATTTTTTTTATTATTATACTTTGAGTTCTAGGGTACATGTGCAAAACATACAGGTTTGTTACATATGTATACATGTGCCATGTTGGTGTGTTGCACCCATTAACTCGTCATTTACATTAGGTATATCTCCTAATGCTATCCCTCCCCGCTGCTCCACTGCCCCGCTGCCCCGCTGCCCCCACCCCATGAGAGGCCCCAGTGTGTGGTGTTCCCTACCCTGTATTCAAGTGTTCTCATTGTTCAATTCCCACCGATGAGTGAGAATATGCGGTGTTTGGTTTTCTGTCCTTGCGATAGTTTGCTCAGAATGATGGTTTCTAGCTTCATCCATGTCCCTACAAAGGACATGAACTCAACCTTTTTTATGGCTGCATAGTATTCCATGGTGTATATGTGCCACATTTTCTTCATCCAGTCTATCATTGATGGACATTTGGGTTGGTTCCAAGTCTTTGCTATTGTGAATACTGCCGCAATAAATATACATGGGCATGTGTCTTTACAGCAGCATGATTTATAATCCTTAGGGTATATACCCAGTAATGGGATTGCCGGGTCAAATGGTATTTCTAGTTCTGGATCCTTGAGGAATTGCCACACTGTCTTCCACAATGGTTGAACTAGTTTACAGTCCCACCAACAGTGTAAAAGTGTTCCTATTTCTCCACATCCTCTCCAGCACCTGTTGTTTCCTGACTTTTTAAGGATGATCTTTGAAATCAATGAGAACAAAAACACAACATACCAGAATCTCTGGGACACATTTAAAGCAGTGTGTAGAGGGAAATTTACAGCACTAAATGCCCACAAGAGAAAGCAGGAAAGATCTAAAATTGACACCCTAACATCACAATTAAAAGAACTAGAGAAGCAAGAGCAAACACATTCAAAAGCTAGCAGAAGGCAAGAAATAACTAAGATCACAGCAGACCTGAAGGAGATAGAGACACAAAAAACGCTTCAAAAAATCAATGAATCCAGGAGCTGGTTTTTGGAAAAGACCAACAAAATTGATAGACAGCTGGCAAGGCTAATAAAGAAGAAAAGAGAGAAGAATCAAATAGATGCA
Source organism: Homo sapiens (assembly GCF_000001405.40). Classification (NCBI taxonomy): domain Eukaryota; kingdom Metazoa; phylum Chordata; class Mammalia; order Primates; family Hominidae; genus Homo; species Homo sapiens. Next base: position 83,362,018 of record NC_000010.11, on the reverse strand, counting down.
ATAAAAAATGATAAAGTGCATATCACCACCCATCTCACAGAGATACAAACTACCATCAGAGAATATTATAAACACCTCTATGCAAATAAACTAGAAAATCTAGAAGAAATGGATAAATTCCTGGACACATACACCCTCCCAAGACTAAACCAGGAAGAAGTTGAATCTCTGAATAGACCAATAACAGGTTCTGAAATTGAGGCAATAATTAACAGCCCACCAATCAAAAAGAGTCCAGGACCAGATGGATTCACAGCTGAATTCTACCAGAGGTACAAAGAGGAGCTGGTACCATTCCTTCTGAAACTATTCCAATCAATAGAAAAAGAGGGAATCCTCCCTAACTCATTTTATGAGGCCAGCATCATCCTGGTACCAAAGCCTGGCAGAGACACAACAAAAAAAGAGAATTTTAGACCAATATCCCTGAGGAACATCGATGCAAAAATCCTCAATAAAATACTGGCAAACTGAATCCAGCAGCACATCAAAAAGCTTATCCACCATGATTAACTGGGCTTCATCTCTGGGATGCAAGGATGGTTCAATGTATGAAAATCAATAAACATAATCCATCACATAAACAGAACCAAAGAAAAAAACCACATGATTATCTCAATAGATGCAGAAAAGACCTTTGACAAAATTCAACAGCACTTCATGCTAAAAACTCTCAATAAACTACGAATTGATGGGATGTATCTCAAAATAATAAGAGCTATTTAGGACAAACCCACAGCCAATATCATACTGAATGGGCAAAAACTGGAAGCATTCCCTTTGAAAACTGGCACAAGACAGGGATGCCCTCTCTCACCACTCCAATTCAACATAGTGTTGGAAGTTCTGGCCAGAGCAATCAGGCAGGAGAAAGAAATAAAGGGTATTCAATTAGGAAAAGAGGAAGTCAAATTGTCCCTGTTTACAGATGACATGATTGTATATTTAGAAAACTCCATCGTCTCAGCCCAAAATCTCCTTAAGCTGATAAGCAACTTCAGCAAATTCTCAGGATACAAAATCAATGTGCAAAAATCACAAGCATTCCTATACACCAATAACAGACAAACAGAGAGCCAAATCATGAGTGAATTCCCATTCACAATTTCTTCAAAGAGAATAAAATACCTAGGAATCCAACTTACAAAGGATGTGAAGGACGTCTTCAAGGAGAACTACAAACCACTGCTCAAGGAAATAAAAGAGGACACAAATAACTAAGGATACAATTCCCATCCATGCTCATGGATAGGAAGAATCAATATCATGAAAATGGCCATACTGCCCAAGGTAATTTATAGATTCAATATTATCCCCATCAAGCTACCAATGACTTTCTTCACGGAATTGGAAAAAACTACTTTAAAGTTCATATGGAACCAAAAAAGAGCCCGCATAACCAAGACAATCCTGAGCCAAAAGAACAAAGCTGGACGCATCATGCTACCTGACTTCAAACTATACTACAAGGCTACAGTAACCAAAACAGCATGGTACTGGTACCAGAACAGAGATATGGACCAATGGAACAGAACAGAGCCCTCAGAAATAATACCACACATCTACAACCATCTGATGTTTGACAAACCTGACAAAAACAAGAAATGGGGAAAGGATATCCTATTTAATAAATGGTGCTGGGAAAACTGGCTAGCCATATACAGAAGGCTGATACTGGATCCCTTCCTTACACCTTATACAAAAATTAATTCAAGATGGATTAAAGACTTAAATATCATACCTAAAACCATAAAAACCCTAGAAGAAAACCTCGGCAATACCATTCAGGACACAGGCATGGGCAAGGACTTCATGTCTAAAACACCAAAAGCAATGGCAACAAAAGCCAAAATTGACAAATGGGATCTAATTAAACTAAGGAGCTTCTGCACAGCAAAAAAAACTACCATCGGAGTAAACAGGCAACCTACAGAATCGGAGAAAGTTTTTGCAATCTACTCATCTGACAAAGGGCTAATATCCAGAATCTACAAAGTACTTAAGCAAATTTACAAGAAAAAAATCAAACAACCCCATAAGAAAATGGGCAAAGGATATGAACAGACACTTCTCAAAAGAAGACATTTATGCAGCCAACAGACACATGAAAAAATGCTCATCATCACTGGTCATCAGAGAAATGCAAATCAAAACCACATGAGATACCATCTCACACCAGTTAGAATGGCAATCATTGAGGTCTATAATTTTAAAATAATATATAATATATACAAAATATCTCTATTGATTATTTTTGAATTTGCATTGATACATATTTTTGAAGTCAATTTTTGTTGTGTATGTATTGATATATATTTTGGTTAATGTATATATTGATATATATGGATATTGAATTATTTTATATATATACTTGTATATATACTGATCTATCCACCCATCTATCTGTATAAAATTTGAAATATATTAAAGATATGAAATAATGGAGAAAACTTCCATCTTTATGATGCTGAATGTTCTACTTAAGATTATAATATCATTTTCTATTTCTCCCTTTCATGTCTCTCAGTAGTATTTTAGAGTATTTCCTTTTTACTTAAAGGAGACTTACTTATTGAACTTTTGGGTGGGAAGTTCTACATTGTACAGGACTGCTACATATAGGCAGCATTCTAAGCTGTTATGGCAACACATTTCCAAAAATCCTCTGGGACAAAGAATCCCTTTTTAAGTTTTAGAGTTTAAAACCACTATTACGTAATTTACAATTACTCGTTAACCTTATCTCTCTTCTTTCTCTCTTCTTCTTCCTCTTTTCCTCCCTCCCTCCCTCGCTCTTTCTATCTGTCTCTCTATCTAGCTTATTTCACTTACCATAATGTTTTTAAGGTCCATTCATGTTGTAGAATATATTGAAACTTCACTTGTTTTTGGCTTGAATAATATTTCATTGTGTATATACCACATTTAGTTTATTCATTCATCTGATGATGGGCACTTGGGTTTTTCTCACCTCTTGGCTTTGTAGTAAATGTTGCAATGAACATGGTCATACAAACATTACTTTGAATTCCTGCTTTCAGTTCTTTGGGATGTATACCTAGGAGTGGAATTACTCGGTCATATGGTAATTGTATATTTAGTTTTTTGAGGAACCACCAAACTATGTCCCAGCCAGATGCAGCTTTTTACATTCCCACCAGCAATGTACAAAGGTTCCAATTTCTCCACATTCGCATCAGCATTTGTCATTTCCCATTTTGTTTGATTATAGTGATCCTAGTAGGTATAAAGTGATACATCATTGTGGTTTTGATTTGTGTTTCTCTGATGACTGTTGATGTTAAGTATCATTTCTTGTGACTACTGCCCATTTGTATATCTTCTTTGGGTAAATGTTTTAGAATATACTCCTTCTACTTATAAAAAAAAAACCCACAAACTTATCTGTAAAACAGCCTCAGGCAGTCCTTGAGGAGGTATTCTAGAAGAAAGCATTGCTGTTATAGGAGATGATAGCTCCATGCTTGTTGTTGCCCCTGAAGAACTTATAATGTGACAAGATGTGGAGATGGAGGGGGGTGATATTAATGATCCTTATCCTGTGTAGGCCTAGGCTAATGTGTGTGTTTGTCATTTAGGTTTTTGAAAAAAGTTTAAAAAGTAAAAACAAAACATTTTTAAATAGAAGAAAGCTTATAGAGTAAAGATGTAAATAAATATTTTTGTACAGCTGTACAGTGTGTTTAAAGCTGTGTTATTACAAATGAGTCAAAAACTTTAAAAAATTATAATGTTTGTAAAGTAAAATTGTTACAATAAGCTAAGGTTAATTTATCATTGAGAAAAAGCAAAATATTTTCTTATACATTTAATTTAGCCTAAGTTTATAATAGTATACAGTAATGTCCTAGATCTTCACACATTCACTCACCACTCACTCACTGACTCATCCAAAGCAAGTTCCAGTCCTGCAGGTGCCATTTATGGTTAAGTACTATATACAGATGTATCATCTTTTTCATTTTGTATTTTTACTGTATTTTTCTATGTTTAGATAGGTTTACATACACAAATATTTACCATTGTGTTACAATTGCCTGCAGTATTCAGTACACTAATGAGCTACACAGGTTTGTAGCATAGGAACCATAGGCTATCCTACTTACCATGGGTATGATGTAGTAGGCTATAGCATATGGGTTTGTGTAAGTATACCATGATGTTGCACAATAACAAAATCACCTAACAACACAATTCTCAGAATGTATCCTCATTGTTAAGTGATGCCTGACTACACATTGTGTGTCTAATAACATAGATTTATCATTATTTTTCTGGATTTAAGTCACATAGAAAATAAAAAGTAAAGTTGTAAACAAAAGTACAGTGATATTGGCTTTTCTATTTGTCCATATATTTACTTTTACTGGAGATCTTTATACTTCACATGGCTTTGAGTTACTGGCTGGTATCCCTTCATTTTAATCTTAAGGGCTCATTTTAGGATTTCTTTTAGGGCAGGTTTGGTGTTGAAGAACTTGCTCAGTTTTTTTTTTTTTTAATCTAGGAATGTCTTGATTTCTCCTTCATTTTTCCCTAATATAGAATTATTTGTTGACAACTTTTTCTTTCAACACTTTAAATATGTTATTCATTACTTACTATATCTATGACTACTGATGAGAAATTGTTTAATATTACCATGTGTTGTATATAATAAGTTGCTTCTTTTTGTCTTGCTACTTTTAAGATCTTTCTGTCTTTGGCTTTAGCCGGTTTGATTATAATGTATCTTAATGTAGGTCTACTTTAGTTTATCCTGCATGGAGTTCATTGAGCTTGTAGGATTAGTAGATCCATGTCTTTCATCAAATTTGGTATGTTTCTAGCCATTATTTCTTCAAAGATTCTCTCTACTTGTTTCCCTTTCTAATAAGGTAAGTGTTGGTCTACTTTGTGGTGTCCCATAGATTTCTCAGGCTCTGTTCACCATTTTCTCACTCTTTTTTTTCTTTCTGCTCCTCAGACTCAATAACTTTAATTGTCTTGTTTTCTTTTCTTTTCTTTCTTTCTTTTTTTCTGAGACGGAGTCTTGCTCTGTCACCCAGGCTGGAGTGCAATGGTACAATTTTGGCTCACTGTAACCTCTGCCTCCCAGGTTCAAGCCATTCTCCTGCCTCAGCCTCCCAGGTAGCTGGGACTATGGGCATGAACCACCACGCCTGGCTAATTTTTTTTTTTTTGTATTTTTAGTAGAGATGGGGTTTCACCACCCTGACCAGGCTGGTCTCAAACTCCTGACCTCAAGTGATCCACCCACCTCAGCCTCCCAAAGTGCTGGGATTACAGACGTGAGCCACCATGCTCAGCCTGCCTTGCTTTCAAATTTACAAATTGTTTCTCCTGCCTGCTCCAATCTGTGTTGAACTCCTTCAGTAAATTTTGTGTTTTAGTTTTTACACTTTTCAGTTCCAGAATTAATTTAATTTTTTTGTCTATCTTTTTACTGGTATTTTTATTTTGTTCATTTTTGTAGATTTTCCTTAGTTCTTTGTTTGTATTTTCTCCAACTTTTTGAACATATTTAAAATAGTTGATTTACAGTCTTTGTTAAGCTCAATGTCTGAGCTTCTTCAGGGATAGTTTCTGTATTTTTTGTTCCATTTAATGTGTCATACTTTCCTATTTTTTGGCATACCTTGTCATTTTTTTTTTGGTTGAATACTGGATTTTTGAATAATATAATATGGTAACTTTGGAAATCAGATTCTCTCCCCTCCCCAGATTTTACTGTTTCATTGATTGTTGAAGACTATAGTAGTCCATTTATTTAATAAATTTTCCAAACTATTTTTGCAAATACAGTATGTCTTCTTGTGTGCAGTCACTGATGTCACTACTTCTTTATCTGGTGTTCAGCTAATATATTGCCAGAAACTTCCTTGAACACCAGAAAACCAAATACTTCTTCCAGTGTTTGCAGATTGGCTCTATTCTGGGGCACTCTAACATGCAGCCAGGCTTGCATCAAACTGAGAGACCACCACCAGGAGAAAGCTTTGGGTCTTTTTAGGTATTTTGAGCCTGTGCCTTGCCTGGGCATGCATGTTGCTTTCTAAACTCCATCATATTATACATGGGTACTTTTGAATATCCTAATTCCTCAAAGACTCTCCCCAGCTGTTCTTCCAGGGCTTTAGAAGGCTTAATATATGTCTCAACTGTAATCTTTTAGCCTAGGCATCTGCAGGTAGTTAGTTTACCTTACGGTTTTACTGAACAATGACTACCACTTTTCTACCCTGAGTTCCAAGTTAAGTAAAACAAAGGTAAACATCTCATATCAGTTTTTACAAGAGACACACATAATAATTTGAGAATAAGATCTGCCCTACTGCCTCTGGACTCAGTGACCAGGATCCACACTTGGCTGCTGCTGCTTTAAGATCTGCCACATGAAAAGGGGAATGGGACAGGAGTGAGTTAAAACACTGTGGTTTGGCTGGGTGAGGTGGCTCACATCTGTAATCCCAGCACTTTGGGAGGCTGAGGTGGGCAGATCACGAGGTCAGGAGATCGAGGCCATCCTGGCTAACATGGTGAAACCCTGCCTTTACTAAAAATACAAAAAATAAAATAAAATTAGCCGGGCATGGTGGCGGGCACCTGTAGTCCCAGCTGCTTGGGAGGCTGAGGCAGGAGAATGGCGTGAACCTGGGAAGCAGAGCTTGCAGTGAGCCGAGATCACGCCACTGCACTCCATTCTGGGAGACAGAAAGAGACTCTGTCTCAAAACAAACAAACAAAAAAACACTGTGGTTCAGAATGCTTGCCTGTCATTTTCAAGTTGCCTTTTACTTATTTCAGCCCTTACTTCCTTGCAAACTTTGAACTGTTTTCCAGCGTTCTGACAAAATTCATTCTGAGTTTCTGGTTGTTTATCAATGTTCTTGTGGAAGGATGAGAGCTTGGGGCCGCCTAATCTACCACTTTGCTGACATTACTCCCAGTGGTTCTGTTTTAAAGTAAAATTTTATTGAAGTAAAACCTATCTTCAGAAAAGGGCACAAAGCATAAGTATACAGCTTGACAATTTTTCATATTTGTGTAACAATCCATCAGATCAACAAATAGAGTTCTGTTGTATGACACAGTATCTATAATTAACAATACGGTATTGTGTATATTAAAATATTTTAAGGGGATAGATCTCATATTAAGTGTTCTTTAAAAAAATGTCTAAACTGATCAAAATGAATATATTAAATATATTCTTTTCCTGGACATATATGCCTATTCCTAGGAGATAAATCACTAGATCATAAAGCATGCATAAATTCAGCTTCAGCTTTCCAAGCTGTTTATACCAAGTGACAAACCTGCCAAAAATGGATGAAAGCTCTGGTTGTGCCACATTCTCAATAACATTTGCTAGAATGTGTGATTTGTTCTTTTTGACATTTCTAGTGTGTGAGTTGTCTTTTTTTTTTTAACATTTTACACTTCTACCTCAAAAATATGAAAGGTCTGTTTCCTTCACATCTTCACAATCATTTCGTATTCTCAGCATTTTTAATGTTAAATATTCTGATGAATATGTAGTGGATTTCATTGTGGTCTTATTTGCATTTCCATGATAAATAACAATATTGAAAATTTTTCATGTGATTCCTGTTTCTCAATATCTTGCTTTGTGAACTCTCTGTTCAAATATTTTACCCATTATTTAATTGAGGTTTTCATCTTTATAATATTGAGCAGCATCAACTATTTATAAATGCTATATACCAGTCTTTTGTCAGATATATTTGTGAATATTTTCTCTTAGCCTGTAGCATGTCTGTTTATTTTCTTGTGTCCTTTTATAATCAGATTTTTCTATTATAATGAAGTTAGTTTATTGTTTTTAACGTGTTTTTATTTTGCTATTTATAAGTTGAGATTGCATGCCTCTAAGTCATAAATATAGCCTTCTACTTTTATTTTTCATTATAAAAACTTTACTGACTTAGCTAATATATTTAGTTTTTGCATATATCTTAAAGTAATTTTTATGTGTACTGTGAGGTAAAGATTGAAGTGATTTTTTATAAATATCCAAATGCTACCGTACCATTTCTTGAAAATATTTTCATTCTCCTATTGGATTGCTTTGGCATCTTTATCAAAAATCACATAAAATTTTAAGTCTATTTTTGGGATCTCTCTTATGCTAAATTATTCTAGATTTTTACCCTATGTAACTATCACTCTCTTTTGATTACTGTAGATTTATTGTAAATCTTAAAGTCAGGTAGTGTAAGTCTTTCAACTTCGTTTATTCTTAAGATTATTTTAATATTTGGGGCCATTTTATATAAATATTAATTTTAGAATTAACCAATTGCTACAATGCAAACTTGTTAGAAATATTGTTTGGAATTGCATGAGTCTTATAGATCAATTTTGGAGTAATCAACATCTTATAAATACTGAGTCTCTAAACAGTATGTCATTTCATTACTTTCCTGTTTTTTAATCTTTCTCAGTAGTATTTTTGTAATTTGCAGTGTATGGCTTTTAGATAAGTGTTGTTAAATGCATCTCTTAATTTAGCTTGTTGGTGATATTTTAAGGGAATAAATGTTTTTCTTTCATATTTGATTCCTTTGCTTTTGGTATATAAATATAGGTATTTATTTTTTTATATTAACCTTGTGTTCTGTGACACTGTTAAATTGACTTATTAAAGTAGCTGCTTTAGAAATTTTTAGGTTAGAAATTTCTAAATGTTGAGATTTTCAAAAGTGACTTTAGAATCGGCTATTTCTATCTTTAATTCTATCAGTTGTGCTTCATGTGACTTTACAAATATAATTTGTATATCTTATACTTGAATTGACATTTTTATCATTATAAAATATTCTTTTTTTATCTCTGTCAGCTAACATTGCCTTAAGGTATATTTTATGTGATATTAATATAGTTATCACAGAATGTGGGGCTCTTTAACCTTATTTTCTGTTTTCTAGGGCTTACTCTTTATTTGCTAGTGACAATCAGCCTTTTTATGCTGATTGTCCACATGATACGTCTTCTGTTTATCATTTATTTTCTACCTATATTTGCTTTTATAGTTAAGATATTTCTTGTACACAGTATGCAGGCAAATAATGCTTTTTGTGACCATTTGACAACCTCTGCATTTAATTTTGTAACATTTAAATAACATTTAAAGAATATAAATAATATTTAAAATAAACATTAATAATAAATATTTTATTAAATTATTTTATAGTTCACATATGTTGTAATATTTATATTATTTTAATGATTTTATGTTAATCGTAAAATAATTAAACAAACAATAAAACGTTTAAAATAAACTAGTAATATTCATTTTATTCTTTGTTTTCTTAGATTTCCCTTTCTCTGTTTACCCTTGGCTGCCTTTTGAATTGTTTGACTCTTTCTTGAAATTTCATTTTAAATTATTGATTGCATTTTGCCACACCTTTTTGCATTATTTTTCTAATGCTTGACATAGGCAATAATGTGGGTTAACTTTTTACAGCTTATTTAAAGCTAATATTGAACCACTTCAAGTAAACAGGGGAAACCTGTAACCATGCATGACCATTTATCTCCCCACAAAATTTTGCACTAAAATTGTTGTATGTATTATCTTTACATAAATAAAATAGTTACATTACAATGTTAGTATTATTGCCCATACCTATATATAGTTATTCATCTTATTAATCCTGCTTTGTATTCATTAAACTTCTCAAATTTGTAAATTTATGCTTTTCACCAAATTTGTAAACTTTTTGGCCATTTTTTTCTTGCCTCATTTTCTCTTTTTTCTTTTCTGGGACTCCAATTACTGGTATGTTACATCTTTTTATATTGTTTCACAAGTACATGAAGCCGTGTTTCTAGGTATCTAGTCTTTTATCTTTTATTCTGTTCTTCAAGTTGGATACTTTTTATTTAAAATCTTCAAATTTTCTTACCATTTCTTTTGTCATCATAATTCTGATGTTTACTGAATTCCAGTGGGCTTTTTGCAGGGAAGACTTTATCACAGAATGTGGGGCTCTTTAACTCTTACTCTCTGTTTTCTGGGACTTACTCTTTATTTGCTAGTGGCAATATTTGCCTCAAACTCTGGTTTTTCAAGTCAGTAAGACTACACATATTCTTCACAGTCTGAATTACCATAGAAAGCATTGGCTATGGCCTACTCTCAAGCTACAGTCTGTAAAAAATAAATCATGGAATTTCATTCAATTTCATTTTCTTCTTTCAAGTGCCAACACTCCTCCAATGACTGCAGATATTGTTCACTCTCTATTGCCTTTAGGTAGATATGTTACTTTTTTCCAGAATTTATAGTTGTTATTTATCAGAAAGTTGGTGTGATAGGAACTTTCTTGGTCATACTGGAAACAGAATAGCACAACTTTTTAATATATATTTTAAAAATACAGTTGAAATATCCTCTCTGATATGAGACTTAATATATATGTTCACATTTCCTGTAATTCTAATGCTGGCTTCATTTTATTCTAGTTTTCTTATAATTTTTAGTTTTACTAAATTGTGATCAGAAACTTTCATGTATACCATTTTACTTCATTTAATTTATTGACATTTACTTTGTTGTCCAAAATGTGGCCAATTATTGTAAATGTGTCCTGAACTCTTGAAAATATAAAGTGTATTCTCATACGTTTATTGCAGCACTATTTACAATAGCAAAGACATGGAACCAACCCAAATGCCCATCAATGATAGACTGGATAAATAAAATGTGGTACATATACACCATGGAATACTATGCAGCCATAAAAAGGATGAGATCATGTCCTTTGCAGGGACATGGATGAAGCTGGAAGCCATCATCATAAGCAAACCAATACAGGGACAGAAAACCAAATACCTCATGTTCTCACTCATAAGTGGGAGGTGAACAATGAGAACACGTGGACACAGAGAGGGGAACAACACACATCAGGGCCTGTTGGGGGATGGCGGTTGAGGGGAGGGAACTTAGAGGACAGGTCAGCAGGTGCAGCAAACCACCATGACACACGTATACCTATGTGATAAACCTGCACGTTCTGCACATGTATCCCATTTTTTTGAAAGAAGTGTCTTTAAAAATTTGCATAACAAAAAAGAAAATAAAGTGTATTCTGTGCTTCCACAGTAAAAATTATTATATAAGTACATTTAATTCTTATATAAGTTGTTAAATATGTTGCTTTGTTTTCTATATCTTTATATGTTTACAGACTAATGTATCTTTTTTCTATGTTGATATATTTTTTCTTTAAACATGTATATTATTTTATATAATCATATATATATATACATACATATATATATAATCAGTTTTTTTCAATTTTTGGTGCCAATAATAACTTATGTTTTATTTAACAATTTTTGAGTCAAATCAGCTTTTCCTATTGTTAAGACTGCAAACCTTCATTATTAAATTTTGTATGTAGTTGTCTGCATCCTATGGTCAAATTTTATATTTTATTTGATTCTAAGGCAAATTGTTTTATGTGTATCTATTTTACATGACTTCAAATTGAAGTTTTGCCTTGTGATTTAATATAAATTATTTTGCTTTATAGAGAAATTTGTCATATTTACATTTAGTGATATTAGATATGTTTGCTTTTAGTTCAGTAATGTCAGTTTGTGTTTTATTTTCAGATTTGTGTTATTATTTTAACAATGGAAAGTTTTGGCCACACACAGTGGCTCACACCCATAAACCCAGCATTTTGAGAGGTCGAGGCAGGAGGAATTCTTGAGCCAAGGAGTTCAATACCAGCCTAAGCAACATAATGAGACCTCATCTCTACAAAATATATTTGTTTTTAAATTAGGCATGGTGGTATGTGCCTGTAGTCCCAGCTACTGGGGAGGCTGAAGTGGGAGAACTACTAGAGCTCAGGAGATCAAGGCTGCAGTGAGCAGTGCACTCCAGCCTGGGCATTAGAGCAAGACACTGTCTCTCAAAAAAAAAAAAAAAAGAAGGAAGTTTGGTATATTGTTCTGGTATATTATTATACTTTTATATAGTAGCTCTAACTCTATTTTGTTTTCTTTTTTTTGAGATAGAGTCTCACTCTTTTGCCCAGGCTAGAGTGCAGTGGTGCGATCTCGGCTCACTGCAAACTCCGCCTCCCAGGTTCATGCCATTCTCCTGCCTCAGCCTCCCAAGTAGCTGGGACTACAGGTGCTGGCCACCACGCCTGGCTAATTTTTTGCATTTTTAGTAGAGACGGGGTTTCACCGTGTTAGCCAGGATGGTCTTGATCTCCTGACCTTGTGATCTGCCCGCCTCGGCCTCCCAAAGTGCTGGGATTACAGGCGTGAGCCACTGTGCACGGCAAAACTCTATTTTTTAGAGTATATCATCTACACATTAACGTTTTATCTTTCTTTCTGTTTCTTTTTACCTTTAATTTCACCAATCACCTTTGAAATTAATTGCTGTATTAATTTCACCAATTTTCTTAATGTTTATCTTTTTGTTCTTAAATTTACTCATACCCAATTATGGTTGGAGTCCTACGTGTACTTATGAGTTCTAAGTATATTTATTTATACTGCCTATCAAACTCAATTATCCTTTTCTTCAAAACTCAAGTTAGGGACAATTTACATAAGTGAAAATGCCTTTTTAGACACTAGACATCAGAAAATGAAGTCCAGTGGTCACTAGGAGATGGAAAATAAATGAATGGGTCCTCTTATTGCCCATGCTTAATGCTTTGAGAGCATTTCCATGCCATAGTGAGGGACTGTGAAGCCAGGAATACCTGGAAGAATTATTAAGCAGAGATGAAATTCAGTCTAAGAAAACTACAATGGCTAAAGCTCACTGGACACAGTATAATAAGGCGATACAGAGCAAGGCTCTGTAGAACTGCACAAGATTCCGCAGAGAATTTCTATATTCAACAAACTACTGGGTAATATAATACATTCATATCAGAAAACTATTAAGACTGGGAAAAGAACCACCTGAAATAAATTAGAGGAAGCTGTACCCGTTATACTAAGAGAGGAAAGACTAATGCCTGTTCCCACCAGCTAGACTGGAAATAAAAGTGCTGAGTTTCACCTGAAGCCAGCAAGTTTCAGAGGCTCACCCAAGGCCCTCAATATAGGACCTGGGTTTTGCTGCTGGTTATTCAGGGCCCAAGGGCTCTTTAGTTTTCAGATGATGAATGCTGCCAGCACTGGGTCCTTTCCTTCAAAGCAGTGGGTTCCCTTCTGGCCCAGGGTGTGTCTAGAAATGTCTGGGAGGTAGGGTCTGAAACAGGGGCTTCACAACTCTGGCCAGTGCCCTATCTTGCTGTGGCTGAGCTGGTATCCAAGATGCAAGACAAAATCCTCTCCTCTCTTCCATCTCCTCTCCTCAAGCAGAAAGATGAGGTCTGTTTTGGAGCCATCAGCTTTGCAGCGTGGGGTAGAGGAGGGACAATGCCAGCACTCCCTTGGCTGCCCCAGCTGGTGTCTCAGTATGTCGCGTGCCCCACCTGTCCACTGTCTCTGGGCCTAGTTCAGCACCAGGCCGTGCCTAAGAGTTGCAGTCCTAATGGCCAAGACTGCCTTTCAAATTTTCTTGGAGACACAGAGTGCTGTAGCCCTCAGTGGCAAGGTTTGTAAGTACTATTGTTCTGGCCACTGGTATCAGCAATTGCCCTCTGACTAGGGCTGGTTTTAATGCACCCTCCATGGACAGGCATCAGCTGAGTTTGGTCTGGCTTTTCCTCCTGCTCTATTAGGACAGCACTGAGTTCATTGCCTCACAATTGCTGTGTTCTCCCTCCCCCAGGGCCCAAAGAGGCTCCCTGTACCACGCCAACCTCTGTGGAGGACATGGGAGGGAGGGGTGGTATTAGAGATTCAGGACTGTTTTTTCTATCACTTCACTGCCTCTTGTAGCGATTTGAAGTTAAATCCAGGTGCTATGTGCACTCACCTGATTTTTAGTTCTTAATGAACCAAAATCTATTCTGTATAGATAGTTGTTAACTTGGTGTCCTTGCAGAGGAGATGATCAGTGGAGCCTTCTATTCCACCACCTTGCTCTGTCCCTGTCTGGAAAGTTTTCTGAAATGATATAGTTCAAGATAAATTTAATTAAAAAAATTTTTAGTTATCCAATTAACACATTTTTGGTATCTCCCTTGCCTGTTTTCATTTTTTCGTAATGCTTTAAAGAACAGTTATTTAGATCCATTTTGATGCCATTTTTTTAGCAATCTATATTCTCCTATTATTAATAATATTGACTTTATATCTGTGATTGTTCTTGTCCTTCTGTTTCTTTTCCTATATCTTTTATCATATTTTATTCTATTCTAGTTTTGCCATCTTGTCCTAAGTTTCTGTGTCTGCCTATATCTGCTTGATTTTATTGACTTTTAAATTAAATTTTAAATTTCACGGTGAAATACTTGTTTAGGACTCTCTATGCCATTATTATTAATATTGTTATGGTGACTAAGCTTTCCATGCACTTTAGCTTTACTTATTGTTTTTCATATAATCTTTCATCCTGTGATTGTTCTTTTTTGATTACATATTTCTGAAGGAAGCAATTTATTTTCTGAAGTCATTATTTTTACCAAGTTTATTGAATGAAAGGCTAGATCTGTGCCTCATATTAACAGACATGTTCCCCAAAAATCAAGACATTGCATGTGGCTACTTTTGTTTTTTGTGTGTAACCAGTAGATGGAAACAGGTAGAAGGTTGAAGGACTAATTATGAATTCTTTCTTATTTCTTCATTTCTTTTGACATCCTTTCCACAATGGCCAACATTTTTGGAAGACTGTGTATTATTATTCTCATTAACTTTATTGTTTTGGCATGGTTTCCATTGGACCATAAAGAAAAGGCTATTTTATATGTCCAACTTCAAATTAGAAGTTCACAAGAATCATTTACAAGTTTGGGGAATATTATCCTGTCTTCTTATAAATATTCTATTCTTACAACTAGGCCACAAATTTTGCAATATAAGAAACAAGATTGTGCTGTTGTGGCAATCTAAATTTTCTGAGTATCCTGCCTGAAAGAAGGAGGGGAATGTCTCACTGGCCTATAGGTAGGAGAAAATGTGATATCAGGTAAACACACTTGCTTGTATTTTAAAATAATTTCTCACATGGTCTGCAATTCCTTTTCTATTTTTTTTTTTCAACTTTTAAGTTCCAGGGTACATGTGCAGGATGTGTAGGTTTGTTACATAGGTAAACTTGTGCCATTGTGGCTTGCTGTGCAGATCAACTCATCACCCAGGTATGAAGCCCAACATTTATTAGCTATTCTTCCTGTTGCTCTCCCTCCCCCACCCCCTATACTATTACTTTTCTAAGAAGTGATGAGCAAGAGAGCTGAGGAGAAGCTGTCTATCTAGGCCTCAGGCATAAAGAATATCAGATTGGCGGCTGACATTTTAACATCTGTTCATATCACAAGAACAACAACAAAAAAGTCAGACTTAAAATATTGTAGTAAAGGCCCCAGGAAATGATGCATTATTCTTTATCTTTTGTTGATATATCTTCTTAAGTCTCCTTTTGGTTGAGATCCAAGGCAAATTCTGTGGCCCCAGATATCAGTTTATCAGAGAACATAGCTAGCTGAATGCATCATACTAGGCAATCAAAATGGAAGGCTTTGCTGTGCATGCATTTGGGGGTGTGTGTAAGCCGATCCTTTGAAATAGGCCTTGAGGGATACTCTCATAGATTCTAAAGAACACACTGATGGATACAATGTGGGTGGAGAAGGAAAATTGGAGAATGATGCCTAGATTTCTTGTTTGAACAGTGGAGTGGATAGTTATATCTTTTAGTGAAATAAAAAAATACAGAAGTGGCAGCAGGTCTGAGAGTATAAAAAATGAGTAAAGCTTTGGACAAGGTAAATATCAGGTGTCTGAGGCATATCATGGTGATGTCCAGTAGGCAGCTGGATATACAGTCAAGGGCTCAGGAGGGGGCTGTAGGCTGGAAAAGAGATTTGGAAGTCATCAACATTATGTCAAGGGCTTGTCAAATAGAAATCCAAGCAAAGGCCCTAAGATTCATTCTGTATCCAACAGACCAAATAAAATACGAGGAAATTCTTTCTTCAAACAGTGCATTTCTCTCTGAGGAAGGACATTCTAATCGTGGGAAACTTTAGGGTTTTAAAATCCATTGCCGTCCCCTTGTGAGGTGTAGCTTTTGATAAGTGATAATATTATCTCTGTGCCTGTAACATAAAAATCTATAGTTAACCAAGTAAAGTCATAATGCAGATAATAAAGAGAGACCAGTACACAATACTTTAATTTAATGAAACCAGCTTAAGTATTTCATCCTGGTCTCTGTAATTATTGACATAACCTTTAAAGAAAGGAAGTTATGAGAAAAAGTGGGAAAAGAAAGACTTGAAATTTGTGTATATGTGTGTGTGTGTTTATTGTGATAAAATATAAATAATATAAAATTTACCTTTTTAACCATTTTAATTTCTACATTTAGTGGTTAAGTATATTCTTAACATTGTTCAACTATCACCATTATGAGAAATTACTGCTAAATGGGTAGAGAGGGTCCATTTGGCCTCCCCCCACAAAGAAAAAGTTCTGAAACTAGATAGTGGTATATGTATTTTAGGTAAAGTATTATTTTAACAAGAGGCAAGGTAAAGTAAAAATTTATGGCCTTCAGAATGGAGAGGTTTGAGATCGAATCCTACCCCTTCAAGACTGTGATCTGCCCCTGTGTGTGAGGCATCTCTCAAGGCTTCATTTTATCTTCTATAAAAAGGGAATAATAGTATCAAAAGTATAGATTTGTTATGATGATAAAATCAAATTGTGTGTATGTATGTGTTTATTACAAAATAGGCATTTAATACATGTCAGCTTATTTCAACCACTTGCCTCTGCCCTTAAAGCCTAAAGGGGAGTTGTGTGTGTTTCTTGATAACCGTACAACAGCCAGCCATCCCCTGGCAGTGCCCTGTTCTTGAGAGTTTGGCATCTCACAAGCAAAGGAAAATAGTTGAATCGAAAGAAGCAGTCAAATGAATGGCAAAGGTTTACCATGCCCTAATGGCAGAAAAGCAAGTTCACAGAATATTATGTAAATAAATTTTGAAATGTTGCAAAGAGATTTAGACGATCCGCAGAATTCCGGGAGAAGTTGCTGAAGAGGTATGGAGTTTAATCATTAAGAGATAATGAGGCTACAGTTGAGAAGTCTAAAGAAGGATTTGATATCTTACTGATGAATTAGGAGAAAAAGAAAAGGCAGAGAGGACAGAGAGAGACAGAAACAGAGATTGATTTAGACAGATTTAGGCATGCATGCAGTCTGTTTTTCTAGAGGAAGATGCAACACCATGTTTATCCAAAGGCCAGGGAAATGGGTTAATCAGGATAGGGGCCTGGCTTTTCAATTTCCTGGAAACACAACTTTAAGAAAGGAGAGGTCTTGGAGATCTTGGGGGCTGCGGGGAGGGTGGTGACTGCATCTCCAAGAAACAAAGAGAGAAGAAATGTTATCTACTAATCACAAGAGTGATTTGTTACAATGCTGCCCCTCACTGTTTGGAGCTAAAAGAGTAAGTTTTAAATTTGCTAAAAAAAAAAAATCAACTTTTCTGGTCATTGTTCATTCATTCATTCACTGATGCATTAATTTATTTAATCAATAATTAAAATTTGAAAATCTACTATATGCAAGATCAAAGATATTCCAAAACTTTTCATTAGGTATTGGGTAATACAAAAAAATAGGAAAGAGGAAAGACAAAATTTTAGTTTGAGAGAAAGGGCCAGGCACAAATGTAGGGAATTCAGAAAATTGAATCTCTTTTCAGATATACCCGAATGTGAAGTCAGGAGACACAAATGAGCTTCCCCAAGTGTACAGTTCCCACACAGGTAGATCTTACTTTCAATAAAGGATCAGTTATAAAGCTTGGCTATATATGTTTTCAGGCTTAACTAATATTTCCTCAAAAACACAATGCCATGAATGGTAGATCATTTCAATGTTTTCTCTATAAATACCTCATTAATCCCCTATGTGTCAGGAAACAAAACTATTAGTGGTTCTGCAAGTATGCAGTGCATCTTCCTGTGATGTCCCCAGGGCTCTGGTTTAGAAATACTGCCTTAATTGGGTTACAGTGAAGTTACATTTAACTGTGGAAATTCAACTAAACAACTCATGGGAAAATGTTGCCATGAGCCAAGATCATGCCATTGCACTCTAGCCTGGGAAACAAGAATGAAATGAGAAAAAAAAAAAAAGTTAAACAGTGAGGAAGAAAGAGAGAGAAAAATCTTGAACAGCTAACATTGAGCCCATCTGATATTTTACTTGGAGAAATTATGTCCAAGAGTGAGCATGAGATGGGGGCATGAGATTGTAGTACCCTCACAGATCTCATCCCCAAGTATCTATTGTTCATAGAATGAATGGCAGTACTTTCACTGTTAAAAGTGATTCCTCAGTTAAAGATTTAGGAGAAGAGAGGAGGTTCCAAGATGGCCAAATAGGAACAGCTCCAGGCTACAGCTCCCAGTGTGAGCGATGCAGAAGACTGGTGATTTCTGCATATCCCTCTGAGGTACTGGGTTCATCTCACTGGGGCTTGTCTGACAGTGAGTGCAGCCCACGGAGAAGGGCAGGGCATTGCCTCAACCAGGAAGCACAAGGGGTCAGGGAATTCCCTTTCTTAGCCAAGGGAAGCCGTGACAGATGGTACCTGGAAAATCGGGACACTCCCATCCTAATACTGCACTTTTTCCAACAGTCTTAGCAAACAGCACACCAGGAGATTATATCCCACACATGGCTCAGAGGGTCCCATGCCCATGGAGCCTAGCTTACTGCTAGCACAGGAGCCTGAGATTGAACTGCAAGGTGGCAGAGAGGCTGGGGGAGGGGAGTCTGCCATTGCTGAGGCTTGAGTAGGTAAACAAAGTGGCCAGGAAGCTTGAACTGGGTGGAACCCACTGCAGCTCAAGGAGGCCTGCCTGCCTCTATAGACTCCACCTCCTGGAGCAGGGCATAGCTAAACAAAAGGCAGCAGAAACTTCTGCAGACTTAAATGTCCCTGTCTGACAGCTTTGAAGAGAGTAGTGGTTCTGCCAGCACAGAGTTTGAGATCTGAGAATAAACAGACTGCCTCCTCAAGTGGGTCCCTGACCCCCGAGTAGCCTAACTGGGAAGCACTTCCCAGTAGGGGCAGACTGACACCTCATATGGCCGAGTGCCCCTCTGAGACGAAGCTTCCAGAGGAAGAATCAGGCAGCATCATTTGCCATTCTGCAATATTTGCTGTTCTGCAACCTCTGCTGGTGATACCCAGGCAAATAGGGTCCAGAGTGGACCTCCAGCAAACTCCAACAGACCTGCAGCTGAGGGTCCTGACTGTTAGAAGGAAAACTAAAAAACAGAAAGGACATCCACACCAAAACCCCATCTGTATGTCACCATCATCAAAGACCAAAGGTAGATAAAACCACAAAGATGGGGAGAAACCAGAGCAGAAAAACTGAAAATTCTAAAAATCAGACCACCTCTTCTCTTCCAAATGAATTCAGCTCCTCACCAGCAATGGAACAAAGCTGGATGGAGAATGACTTTGATGAGTTGAGAGAAGAAGGCTTCAGACGATTGGTAATAATAAACTTCTCCAAGCTAAAGGAGGATGTTCGAACCCATGGCAAAGAAGCTAAAAACCTTGAAGAAAAATTAGACAAATGGTTAACTAGAATAAACAGCATAGAGAAGACCTTAAATGACCTGATGGAGCTGAAAACCATGGCACGAGAACTACGTGACACATGCACAAGCTTCAGTAGCCGATTTGATCAAGTGGAAGAAAGGGTATCAGTGATTGAAGATCAAATAAATGAAATGAAGTGAGAAGAGAAGTTTAGAGAAAAATGAGTAAAAAGAAACAAACAAAGCCTCCAAGAAATATGGGACTATGTGAAAAGACCAAATCTACTTCTGATTGGTGTACCTGAAAGTGACGGGGAGAATGGAAGCAAGTTGGAAAACACTCTTAGGATACTATCCAGGAGAACTTCCCCAACCTAGCAAGGCAGCCAACATTCAAATTCAGGAAATACAGAGAACACCAGAAAGATACTCCTCAAGAAGAGCAACTCCAAGACACATAATTGTCAGATTCACCAAAGTTGAAATGAAGGAAAAAATGTTAAGAGCAGCCAGAGAGAAAGGTTGGGTTACCCACAAAGGGAAGCCCATCAGACTAACAGCAGATTTCTTGCAGAAACTCTATAAGCCAGAAGAGAGTGGGGGCCAATATTCAACATTCTTGAAGAAAAGCATTTCCAACCCAGAATTTCACATCCAGCCAAACTAAGCTTCACTAGTGAAGGAGAAATAATACCCTTTACAGACAAACAAATGCAGAGAGATTTTGTCACCACCAGGCCTGCCTTACAAGAGCTCCTGAAGGAAGCACTAAACATGGAAAGGAACAACTGGTACCAGCCACTGCAAAAACATGCCAAATTGTAAAGATCATCGATGCTAGGAAGAAACTGCATCAACTAATGAGCAAAATAACCAGCTAACATCATAATGACAGGACCAAATTCACACATAACAATATTAATCTTAAATGCAAATGGGCTAAATGCTCCAATTAAAAGACACAGACTGGCAAATTGGATAAAGAGTCAAGACCCATCAGTGTGCTGTATTCAGGAGACCCATCTCACGTGCAGAGACACACATAGGCTCAAAATAAAGGGATGGAGGAAGATCTACCAAGCAAAAGGAAAAGAAAAAAAAAGCAGGGGTTGCAATCCTAGTCTCCGATAAAACAGACTTTAAACCAACAAAGATCAAAAGAGACAAAGAAGGCCATTACATAATGGTAAAGGGATCAATTCAACAAGAAGAGCTAACTATCCTAAATATATATGCACCCAATACAGGGGCACCCAGATTCATAAAGCAAGTCCTTAGAGACCTACAAAGAGACTTAGACTCCCACACAATAATAATGGCGACTTTAGCACCCCACTGTCAACATTAGACAGATCAACAAGACAGAAAGTTAACAAAGATATCCAGGAATTGAACTCAGCTCTGCACCAAGTGGACCTAATAGATATCCACAGAACTCTCCACCCCAAATCAACAGAATATACATTCTCCTCAGCACCACATTGCACTTATTCCAAAATTGACCACATAGTTGGAAGTAAAGCACTCCTCAACAAATGTAAAAGAACAGAAATTGTAACAAACTGTCTCTCAGACCACAGTGTAATCAAACTAGAACTCAGGATTAAGAAACTCACTCAAAACTGCTCAACTACATGGAAACTGAACAACCTGCTCCTGAATGACTACTGGGTACATAACGAACGGAAGGCAGAAATAAAAATATTCTTTGAAACCAATGAGAACAAAGACACAACATACCAGAATCTCTGGGACACATTTAGAGCAGCGTGTAGACGGAAATTTATAGCACTAAATGCCCACAAGAGGAAGCAGGAAAGATCTAAAATTGACACCTTAACATCACAATTAAAAGAACTAGAGAAGCAAGAGCAAACACATTCAAAAGCTAGCAGAAGGCAAGAAATAACTAAGATCAGAGCAGAACTGAAGGAGATAGAGACACAAAAAACCCTTCAAAAAATCAATGAATCCAGGAGCTGGTTTTGGAAAAGAGCAACAAAATTGGTAGACCACTAGCAAGACTAATAAAGAAGAAAAGAGAGAAGAATCAAATAGATGCAATAAAAAATGATACAGGGGATATCACCACTGATCCCACAGAAATATAAACTACCATCAGAGAATACTATTAACACCTCTATGCAAATAAACTAGAAAATCTAGAAGAAATGGATAAATTCCTGGACACATACACCCTACCAAGACTAAACCAGGAAGAAGTTGAATCCCTGAATAGACCAATAACAGACTCTGAAATTGAGGCAATAATTAGTATCCTATCAACCAAAAAAGTCCAGGACCAGATGGATTCACAGCCGAATTCTACCAGAGGTACAAAGAGGAGATGGTACCGTTCCTTCTGAATCTATTCCAATCAATAGAAAAAGAGGGAATCCTCCCTAGCTCCTTTTATGAGGCCAGCATCATCCTGATACCAAAGCCTGGCAGAGACACACACAAAAAAGAGAATTTTAGACCAATATCCCTGATGAACATTGTGGCAAAAATCCTCAGTAAAATACTGGCAAACCAAATCCAGCAGCACATCAAAAAGCTTATCCACCATGATCAAGTTGGCTTCATCCCTGGGATGCAAGGCTGGTTCAACATACACAAATCAATAAATGTAATGCATCATATAAACAGAACCAAAGACAAAAACCACATGATTATCTCAATAGATGCAGAAAAGGCCTTCGACAAAATTCAACAGCACTTCATGCTAAAAACTCTCAAGAAACTATGAATTGATGGGATGTATCTCAAAATAATAAGAGCTATTTATGGCAAACCCACAGCCAATATCATACTGAATGGGCAAAAACTGGAAGCATTCCCTTTGAAAATGGGCACAAGACAGGGATGCCCTCTCTCATCACTCCTGTTCAACATAGTGTTGGAAGTTTTGGCCAGAGCAATCAGGCAGGAGAAAGAAATAAAGGGTATTCAATTAGGAAAAGAGGAAGTCAAATTGTCCCTGTTTGCAGATGACATGATTGTATATTTAGAAAACCCCATCGTCTTAGCCCCAAATCTCCTTAAGGTGATAAGCAACTTCAGCAAAGTCTCAGGATACAAAATCAATGTGAAAAAATCACAAGCATTCCTATATACCAATAACAGACAAACAGAGCCAAATCATGAGTGAACTCCCATTCACAATTGCTTCAAAGAGAATAAAATACCTAGGAATCCAACTTACAAAGGATGTGAAGGACCTCTTCAAGGAGATCTACAAACCACTGCTCAACGAAATAAAAGAGGGCACAAACAAATGGAAGAACATTCCATGCTCATGGATAGGAAGAATCAATATTGTGAAAATGGCCATACTACCCAAGGTAATTTATAGATTCAATGCCATTCCCATCAAGCTACCAATGACTTTCTTCACAGAATTGGAAAAAAACTACTTTAAAGTTCATATGGAACCAAAAAAGAGCCCGGATTGCCAAGACAATCCTAAGCCAAAAGAACAAAGCTGGAGGCATCACACTACCTGACTTCAAACTATACTACAAGGCTACAGTAACCGAAACAGTATGGTACTGGTACCAAAACAGAGATATAGACCAATGGAACAGAACAGAGCCCTGAAAAATAGTACCACACATCTACAACCATCTGATCTTTGACAAACCTGACAAAAACAAGAAATGGGGAAAGGATATCCTATTTAATAAATGGTGCTGGGAAAACTGGCTAGCCATATGTAGAAAGCTGAAACTGGATCCCTTCTTTACACCTTATACAAAAATTAATTCAAGATGGATTAAAGGCTTAAATGTTAGACCTAAAACCATAAAAACCCTAGAAGAAAACCTAGGCAGTACCATTCAGGACATAGGCATGGGCAAGGACTTCATGACTAAAACACCAAAAGCAGTGGCAACAAAAGCCAAAATTGACAAATGATATCTAATTAAACTAAAGAGCTTCTGCACAGCCAAATAAACTACCAGCAGGGTGAACAGGCAACCTACAGAATGGGAGAACATTTTTTAAATCTACCCATCTGACAAAGAGCGAATATCCAGAATCTACAAAGAACTCAATCAAATTTACAAGAAAAAAAATCAAACAACTCCATCAAAAAGTGGGCAAAGGATATGAACAGACACTTCTCAAAAGACGACATTTATGCAGCCAACAGACACATGAAAAAATGCTCATCATCACTGGCCATCAGAAAAATGCAAATCAAAACCACAATGTGATACCATCTCACACCAGTTAGAATGGCAATCATTAAAAAGTCAGGAAACAACAGGTGCTGGAGAGGCTGTGGAGAAATAGAAACGCTTTTACACTGTTGGTGGGACTGTAAACTAGTTCAACCATTGTGGAAGACAGTGTGGCGATTCCTCAAGGATCTAGAACTAGAAATACCATTTGACCCAGCCATCCCATTACTGGGTATATACCCAAAGGATTATAAATCATGCTGCTATAAAGGCACATGCACACGTATGTTTATTGCGGCACTATTCACGATAGCAAAGATTTGGAACCAACCCAAATGTCCATCAATGATAGACTGGATGAAGAAAATGTGGCACATATACACCATGGAATACTATGCAGCCATAAAAAAGGATGAGTTCATGTCCTTTGTAGGGACATGGATGAAGCTGGAAACAATCATTCTCAGTAAACTATTGCAAGGACAGAATACCAAACACCGCATGTTCTCACTCATAGGTGGGAATTGAACAATGAGAACACTTGGACACAGGGTGGGGAGCATCACACACTGGGGCCTGTCGTGGGGTGGGGTTAGGGCGGAGGGATAGCATTAGGAGATATACCTAACGTAAATGTCGAGTTAACGGGTGCAGCACACCAATATGGCACATGTATGCTTATGTAAAAAACCTGCACGTTGTGCACATGTACCCTAGAACTTAAAGTATAATAAAAAATAAAAAAAGAAAAGAAAATAGCTTTAACTGAAAAAAAAAAAAAGATTTAGGGGAAGCTCTCTGAGATGGGAGTGTGAAAGGAGTTCTACAGTGTATGGAAGTCAGAGTCACTGTCCCATCTCCTTGAGCTGCTTTAGTCTTTAAGATTTATCTTTGGACCTATTGGCTTCTTCTGTAATATAATGGGTTTTCCAATGAGAACACCTCTCTACTTCTCCCTTAAAACTCCCACTTTTCTCCTTGATGATCCGACCTTCTTGATCCCTGTCTCTGGATTCTTAGTACAACCAGGATTCTGCTGCAAATCTCTGGGTGGTCCTGCATTGCTCTTCCCTGTCAGTGACAGCAGCCAGAGGTAGGACAGTCCTCTTGTTTCTTTTAGGAATTTTTTTAACCACATAGGTACAAATTAATATTATTTCAGCACTAGAGATTTGATATTATCACTATATCTACAAGACGACTTTGATAGATATTTGAGGACTAAAGTTTTTGTTGTTGTTGTTGTTGTTGTTGTTGTTGTTGTTGTTTTGTTTGAGGCAGAGTCCTGCTCTGTCGCCCAGGCTGGAGTGCAGTGGCGCAATCTCAGCTCACTGCAAGCTCCACCTCCTGGGTTCACACCATTATCCTGCCTTAGCCTCCCAAGTAGCTGGGACTACAGGCGTCCGCCACCACGCCTGGATAATTTTTTGGTATTTTTAGTAGAGACGGAGTTTCACTGTGTTAGCCAGGATGGTCTCAATTTCCTGACCTCGTGATCCGCCCGCCTCAGCCTCCCAAAGTGCTGGGATTACAGGCATGAGCCACCGCAACTGGCCCTTAGGACTAAAGTTTTTAACCCATAAAATGTACATCTTTTCTATGAGAAAATGCATTCTTCTTCAGGAAATTGTCTTCTCTATTAAGTGGCAGGGTCCACTTGTAAAGACTTCTGTATGAAAATAGACTCCAGATTAATCACTAAATTATTTTGCTCATAATAGCAGAAAAACTCCAGGAGCTATAAGCAAAAGCATACCCACTGTAAATAATACTGAGAGGTCTTTATTTTGGTTAAAGTAAAAAGCTTTGGCTTCTGCTGGGAGAAAAACATTACATACTACTAGATCTGATACATGTTTTGTCATTAGCACATACTGCATTGAGGGATCATTGGCTTGTGTGAAACAGGAAACTCTGGGAGAAAAGAGGCCCACATATTTCTTTATGTGAACTACTATCTTTTTTGAATTTAAGTTAGTCCAGGCATGGTGACTCACCCGTAATCCCAGCACTTTGGGAGGCTGAGGTGGGCGGATAACCTGATGTCAGGAGTTCCAGACCAGCCTGGCCAACATGTCAAAGCCCTATCTCTACTAAAAAAAGAAAAAAAAAAAAAAAAAGCTGGGCATGGTGGCAAACGCCAGTAATCCCAGCTACTCAGGAGCCTGAGGCACGAGAATTGCTTGAACACACGAGGTGGAGGTTGCAGTGAGCCGAGATCTTGCCACAGCACTCCAGCTTAGGCAACAGAGTGAGACTCTGTAACAACAACAACAACAAAAGAATTTAAGTTACCATCTATTATAGCACCATTATTTTATGTATTACTGAAGAAAAAAAATGCAGTCAAATTCTGACGCTGTGCTTTCTTATGTAGAAATTTTATTTTAAATATATTTAGACATAGAGTTCTAATATATATCATGCTCCTCAATTCCACAACTTTCTGAGTATACAGTGTCTTTTGTTTTAAGCCTTGGTCATCATGTATTCTTTTCAAGGACATTTTAAATGGCAGCTAAGCTTACCACATCTAGTACCAACAATGTGCATAATACAAAGTCAAAGTGATGATACTGTGAATAGCTATGACCAAGTTGCTCCCATCAAGCAATAACAATCTACCCCACAAGTAACTTCTGACCTGCTGCTTGGCTGATATGGATTGAAATACTCCACCAACTCTAAGCAGATTTCATAAATTGGTACTATGTAAAAATAATGTGCATCTTGGAATTTTTGAAATAGTATTCATATAATAGAACAAGGTATCTGCTTTGATTGTGGTGAGCTTCATAAACTTAAAGGTAGCTTTGCTCCAGTCAAATAATGTACGGATAGGTGGGACGAGAATTAATGCTGAGGAAATTGATTCCAGCATTTAGAAATTTGTCACCGTTGACAGGAAAATCATTACCCCCAAGGGATTTGCTGTCTGTACCTGGTAACAGACACCAGGCTTGCCATTATAGAAAGAATATGGTGATGTAGTGAAATCTTGAGAACTGAGAGGGCAAGCTGCTTCCTGGTAACATTGGTGGCTAACACTTGCTTAGGCAGGGATTGTCATGCATTCTTTCTATTAAACTTCATAGCAATCTTTTGAGTTAAGAGCCTTGTTAGCATATCTTATTGATGAGGAGCTGAGACACAGAAAGGATAAATAACTTGCCTGATACTCCAAAGCTAGTAAATAGAAACGCAGAATTCAAAAGTAAACAGTCTGACGGCAAAGCTCAAGAGTGTTTTCTACTCTTCCGTACTGTCTCCAGGCAAGTTAGCTTCGGCCAGTAGCCGTTCTCTTTATGTGCCAGGTGTTCATAAATTAGGCGTTTGTGAGTTAGGAAGTAGCTCTGCAACTTTGGCTTTATATCAGAAACCATCACAACTCTCTACTGGCTTTGCTGAGGAATCAGTCAATGCAGGTGCACTTGGTATTGGAATGATTGAGAGTGGATTCAAAGCACTCATTTGTTTCTCTTTATATGTTTTTCCTAGAAATTTTTTATTGCCTTTCAAAATTACTTTTTAATTATAAAATTAATAGAGCTCATTGCTAATTTTTTTTTTTTTTTTTTTTTTTTTTTTTTTTTTGAGAGGAGGTCTCGATCTGTCACTCAGGCTGGACTGCAGTGGCGTGATCTCGGCTCACTGCAACCTCCGCCTCCTGGGTTCAAGAAATTCTCCTGCCTCAGCCTCCTGAGTAGCTGGGACTACAGGCATGCACAACCACATCCAGGTAATATTTGCATTTTTAATAGAGATGGGGTTTCACCATGTTGGCCAGGCTGGTCTCACTGCTAAAATTTTACACAATATAGAAGTATGCAATATAAACATGAGAGATATTCCTTCTCCCCTTCTTCACTATTCCAAGGGTAACTCAATGTTATCACTTTTCTATTTATCTTCTATGATGACTTTTATATTCAAATACATATAAATTTTAAGTTTTATTAAAATTATATCAAACTATTTATATTTTTGTGAAACTTGCCTTTCTACTCACCAATATAGTATCGAAAGAGAAACTCAGTTGGATCCTTCTCAGGTAATAATGGAAATTATTGGTTCGTGTATTCCAAGCAAAGATTGAATGACTGAGCGATAAGAAAAGAAGGATGGAGCTGGGCCTCGTATCTCCTGGATCCAATACTTTGAACATTCCTCCCTAGTCTCAGATTCTCACAGATTGTCAGTTTGATTGGTCTCTTTTATTGGAAAGTAGATTACAAGATGAAAAATATGGCTACCAACAATTCCCAAGTAGGGCACTGAAGAAAGCCAGTCATTCTTTCTCAGTTACACTTCAAAAAGTCCAAGGTATGACTCAGATTGATTCAACTTGGGTTAAGCATTCATCTCTGTGTCAATCAAGTATATGTAGGAGACTGGAATATCATGACTGGCACACCTTTATTCAGGTACCCTATCCTGGAACATTTAATAGCAACCTAAGGAACAGTATCATTGCAAATATCCTAGCTTTCACTCAGTATCTACAAATCTGCTCTGCTTAAAGGTTTCTTCTTGGTGTTCATGTATCTGTCTGTCTACACCATGGCATTAAATAATCCTTACAAGACAATAAAGTGTATTGATTATCTTGTGTTTTATACTTCTTCCTTATATTAATTATCTTGAATGACTCTTCCTCATCTCTGAATCCTGCCTCCAAGAATAACAGCAACAAAATAGTTAAATAAATTGCTAATTTATATGATGACCTGTTTATGTATTCAATTTAGATTTAAGTAAATGGCATCAAGAAGGATGAGTACCAAGGCTTCCCTTCTCCTCATTTCTCATGGTTTCAATGTATGTGCATTAATTTGCTGCTCAAGTTCCGAGTTGTCCAGGAACATTGACATGTATAGAGATTTGTTTTTATCTGTAAGTAGCTCTTGTTCAGCTCTTTATAGTCAAATAAATAAAACTAATATGCTTTATTCTCTGTAATTTATTTCCATGCTTAACATGTTTTAAAACTCCTTATGTTTCAGGTCTTGTTTTAGATATGGAAATGTAGGAATAAGTAGTTTGTGGTTATTTATTTGTGGTTTTGCTTTCCATAGTTTCAGTTACCTGTTCCTCCATGGTCTGAAATATTAAATGGAAAATTCCATAAATAAACAATAGTTTTAAATTGTGTGCCTCTCTGAGTAGCCTGATGAAATCTCATGTCCTGCCACTTCTGTTCACAAGGGAGGTGAATCATCTCTTTGTCAAGTGTATCCACGCTGTATACACACTACCTCTTCCTTAGTCACTTAGTCACCCTCTCTGTTATTAGATAGATCACAAGAAGAAAAGGGGCAAGTGCAGTACAGTAAGATATTCTGAGAGAATAAGAGAGAAAAACCACATTCACATAATTTCATTACAGTATACATTTTAAATTTTTCTATTTTATTATTAGTTTTTAAAATCTCTTAGTATGCTTAATTTACAAATTGAAGTTTATTGTACGAATGTATGTTCTCCTACAATATAAGAATAAAGTTAGTACACACAGAGTTCAGTACTGTCTACAATTGCAGGCATCCAATGGGGTTCTTGGAATGTACGTTCCATTGATAAGAGGGGACTACTGTCCATATAAAAATGAGCCATTTGTCCTAGAACCTCCTAAGCTAGTTGAAGAGACCAAGATGGAAACAAGTTAACAGGGCATGATGATGTTACAGCAGAGGCATGTGCAAAGCTTGGTGGGGCCACAAAACAGATAATGTTCCTCCAGGTTTGAAGAGGCTAGTATGTTTTTCTAATATGTTTCTACTATGTTTTTCTAATAGTAAAAACACGTTATTTGTGGTCAGAGAATGTTCTTCCTTAAGGCCTTTTAATGCTGTTAAGAAAAATTAGCTCATGTAACCCTCCAGGATCTGGCTCTCCCACTTCAACTCCCATGCTCTGCTTCCTACACTCTAGCTATATTGGTCTTCATTCAGTGCACTAATAATTCACTGCTTTTACACTGCATGTTGATTTACATTGCCTGAAAAGTTTGTTCTATGCCTTACATTCTTTACTTAATGTCTCCACCTCTACATCTATCCATCCATCAATCTATCTATCTAATAGTTACATTAGTGCTTAGAAGTTCTTCCTCAAGAGCTTCTTCAGTCTACACAAATAAGTCAAGTCGTCTTCTTTTAGTAACATCTATCATGTGATTAGATGAATTATTTGTCCAAAAAGTCTCTTTATCACCAAGTCACCAAGTCAAAAGCTCTTTGATAAGAAGACAATGTTCTTTTCACTTACCACAGTATAACCTCTGTCAATTATGATGTCTAAGACATAGTAGAATCTCAAAATATAGTAAAAAATTAAAAATATGAATAAATGAGCTGGGTAATATGAGACAGAAATAGGAAGAATATTTTAGGGGGAAAAGAGGATCTTATATTCAATGTCTTGAAAAAATAAAAATTATTCCATGTTCTAGAGATTGTATGCAATTTGGCATGTCTTAAATTTAGAGTGTCAAAGTAGAAGCAAGAGAAGATAAGGCTGGGGTGGGGTTTATCATAAAGATTCTTGAATGACAAACCAAAGAGCTTGCAATACTTTTTCTGTTGACAGAGGATAACTACTGAAGGATTTTAAAGAGAAGTGGCATAAACTTATTTGGGCTTACAAAATAATACCATTACCAAAACATAAAGAAATTTCAGGAAATAGAAGACATTTGAAGACTAGTAAAATTACCTATGTAGTTGAGGCGGACTCTAAGTACTTGAATATTCATGCAGATAGGAGGAATGGATATAATGTTAATAAATGGTAAGACTCTCTATTTTCTGATTTGAATACCTTACAGCCTGATTGCTTTAAAAATAGAATAGAGATTATCACTCTAAAGATAAGTGTATGGGTCTTTTCTCCAGTATATGAAAGAATATATTATTGTGTCTTTAATTTGCATGAGAAACCTGGGGCCACAGGACATTATATTAAAATGTACTTGTGGAATTGACTTCTCAAGACAGTATCAGGATTTCTGCTGACGCACTCCCTAGAAAAAGCTAGCAGAAAATTGTTTTTTAAACAGCAATGTAAAGCCTTTGGACATGATGCAGGAACAAACAGCAAATGAAGAATCATATATTAAAGAAAATTTTTTAAAGTTCAGTAAGAAAAGTGAAAATCTGTAGTAATTGAAACAAGACTTTTTCCTTCCTCCCAGCTCAGTGAGATGGAGATTACACTCCAGAAACTGTAGCCAAGAACACAGAACACTCTGTCCCTAGCTCCCAATCAGACTTTCTTCTTAGGAGGAGCAGAATGTCAGCATTTTTCATCTTTCTCCCAGTTATCTGTTTCTGAGGCTAAATCTGAGTGAGTGAGTTAAGACATGGGGGCTCCCTTCTTCCACCAGCTCCTTGTCTTGTGAAATGGAGTCTGCATCTTGAATGCAGGATGCTGAGACGTAGGAGCCCTGATCACTCTTGATATAGTATGAGAGGTGATGGTTCCATGCTATCAGAAGCAAGCCAAGAAGACCTCAGGCAGCTCCACCCCATTTCTGCCCAAACCCTCAGGTCCTAGAGTAGGGACATCAGAGAAAAGTTGGCCATTGTCCCTAACTAACTTTAGAGCTTTGGCCAGAAACTTTGATATGGAGGTGGGGAGAGAATAGGACCTTAAAACAGATAGTTCCTAATCTCTTTCTCAATAACTGACTTCATTTGCAATTGAGTGTAGAAAAGGGCCCTCTCCAAGAGAAGTTCTTTGGTGAAAAGACAATGTTCCTTTATTCACCACAATATATCCCATAGAGGTTGTAGAAAAAGGTGAGAGTCAAGATACAGGCTAAACTGTGGACTGGCTAGTTTTCAAGAGAATACTGGAGAATCATATGACTGGGAGGAATCTTTCTGAGGTCAGAAAAAATACCAACCATTGACCTCAGAACATATTCCTTCAAATGTACCTGAATTTGATGGGATTAGTTTGCAGAGGGATTTATGTTCCAGGGCAGTGTCAAAAACAACAGTAGGAATGATCTGACAATTGGTTGGAGTTTCACAACTAGGTGTGGTCGGGGAAAAAGAGGAATAGAGCCCTACCAAAATGACTCTATTTCAGGGTAACTGTGAATATATCTGAAGATGTGCTTCCTTGAGCAGCAATGTAGAGGGCTTAGTACTATAGGAGGGAGGAAACCTGACCCATAAAGCGGAGAAAAGCAGGTAACAAATTGCCTTCAAGAGCTACCAGATGTTGATATTATCAGCAAAAGACTAAACAGGTTCACAGGTCTAAAGAAAACCATGATTTAAAAAGTAAAGTAACATATGATGACAATGTTGTACCAAATAGAAAATGTCAATAAAGAGAAACTATAAAAAAATACTGAAATGGAAATTCAGAAGTTGAAAAGCACAGTAGCTGAAATAATAATCTCACTTGAGGGGCTCAGATTTTAACTAGTAGAAGAAATAAGCAAGCATAAAGGTATATGATACAGATTATGTAAGCAGAATAACAGAGACAAAAAAAATGAAGAAAAATGAAGGGTGCCTTAGAGAAATGTGGGAGACCACTAAGCACACCAGCATACACATGATAGGCCCTCTAGAGGGAAACGAGAGAAAGGAGTAACACATATATAATTTTTTTAACGATGAAAAACTTACCAAATTTATTAAAAAATAATAACCTACATATCCAGGAAGCTCAAAAAACTACAAGAAGAATAAATGCAAATAAATTCACTAACAGACACATCATAGTAAATGTTAAAAGTCAAACATAAGGAAAGAATCATTGAAAGAAACAAGATAAAAATATTCATTACATATGAGAGAATAACAAAAAGATTTATAGCTAATATATTAGCAAAAGTAATAGGGGCAAGAGGTTATGGGATAACATATTGAAAATGCTCAAAGAAAACCTTGTCAACTAAGAGAAGTCTTATCCAGCAAAGTTTTCTTTAAAAATTGAAGGAAAAATAAAGACTTTCCCAGACAAACAAATAAAGAGAATTTGCGACTAGCACCGGTGGAGGTAATTATATAATTATAAAAGACAATATAAATGCAAACATTTTCTCCATTCTTCTAACTTATTTAAAAAGTAACAAAATAATATGTATATAATGTATATTTGGAAATATAATATGTAGAAATGTAATGTATATGTAATATATTTGCCAAAAATAGCACAGAGTGATGTGGGAGCAAAGCTGCAACGGGATAAAGAAATAAATACAGATGGCAAAGTAAAATTATAGCAATGTATATAATTGGGTTTGTAACAGTGAATATAATATGTATAATAATAATAATACCACTGAAAGAGCAGAGGTAAGGAATAATAACATAAAGGAGTAATGCTTCCATATATTATTGAAATTAAGCTAGTATAAACCTGAAGCTGATTCTGATAGGTTAAGCTGTATATATTAAATCCTAGACCAACAACTAAAAATGAACTCAACATATAAGCTGAATAATTATTTAAAAAATTAATAGGTTTCATTAGAAGGTATTTATTTAATGTAAAAAGAACAGTAGAAGAGGAATAAAGGAACAAAAAAGACAGAAAAGAAAAAGCAAAATGGCACATGTGAATCCCACTATATCAATAAAGGCAGAGATTGTCAGAATGGATTAAAAAACATGATCTCACTGTATTCTGTTCATAAGAGACATGCTTTATACTCAAAGATACAAATAGATTGAAAGGAAAATAATAAAAAAATACATCATGCAAAAATCAATCACAAGAAAACTATAGTAGCTGTACTGGTAATCAGAGAAAATAGACTTTAAAATTTTTTAAAGTTATTAGAGATTAAAGATACATTTTATAATGATAAAAAGTTGAATTCGGCCGGGCGTGGTGGCTCACACCTGTAATCCCAGAGCTTTGGGAGGCTGAGGCGGGTGGATCACCTGAGGTCTGGAGTTCCAGACCAGCCTGACCAACATGGAGAAACCCCATCTCTACTAAAAATACAAAATTAGCCGGGTGTGGTGGCACATGCCTGTAATCCCAGCTACTCGGAAGCTGAAGCAGGAGAATCGCTTGAACCCGCGAGGCAGAGGGTGCAATGAGCTGAGATTGCGCCTGTGCAACTCCAGCCTGTGCAACAAGAGAGAAACTCTGTCTGAAAAAAAAAAAAAAAAAGTTCAATTCATCTCACGCCTGTAATCCCAGCACTTTGGGAGGCTGAGGCAGGAGAATCGCTTGAACCCAGGAGGCGGAGGTTGCAGTGAGCCGAGATCACGCCACTGCACTCCAGCCTGGCGACAGAGAGGGACTCTGTCAAAAAAAAAAAAAAAAAAAAAAAAGGGAATATATAACAGTTATAACCACATATGCACCTAATAACAGTTTAACAAAATATATGAAGGAAAACTGACAGAAATGGAAAGAGAAACAAAATTCAAGAATAATAGTTGGAGCCTTCAAAAGCCCACTATTAATAATTGGTAGAACAAGTCAACAGATGTTTAACACAGAAATAGAAGGTTAGCACAACCCTATAAACCAACTAGACCTTACGGATATCTACAGAAAACTTTATTAAACAACACCAAAATATGCATTTTTTTCTTAAATGCACATGGAATGTTAAGAAGGCTTCAATAAATTGGAAATGATAGAAAAAATACAGTGTATTCTCTAACTACAATAAAATAGCACTAGAAATTGATAACATGAAAATATCTGGGAAATCCACAGATTTTTAAATTAAATAACACACCTCTAAATAGTCAATGAGCCAAAGAAGAAATAAAAGGCAAATCAGAA
Source organism: Homo sapiens (assembly GCF_000001405.40). Classification (NCBI taxonomy): domain Eukaryota; kingdom Metazoa; phylum Chordata; class Mammalia; order Primates; family Hominidae; genus Homo; species Homo sapiens. The sequence continues at coordinate 83,327,344 of NC_000010.11, read as the reverse complement.
ATACTTTGAGATTAATAAATATGAAGAGAGACCATACCAAAAATTACAGGATGCAGGTAAAGCAATAGAGGAAAATGTAGAGCTTTATAACAGCAGAAAAAAAAGAGTAAACAAAACTTAAAGCAAGCAGAAGATAGGAAATAATAAATTTAGAGTGAAGATAAATCAAATAGAGAATACAAAAATAGAGAAAATCAATAGAACTGAAAGCTGTTTTTTGAAAGGCTCAACAAAATTGACAAACCTTTATTTAGACTGACCAAGAAAAAAGAGTAAAGATTGAAATTATTAGAATGGGGAATGAAAGAAGTGTCATTACTACTGATCTTACAAAAATAAAAAGATTCATAAGCTAAAACTATGAACAATTTTATGTCAATAAATTAGATGGTAGAGAAAATTGACAAAATCCTAAAACGACCTAAACTATCATAACTGACTAAAAAAGAAAAAAGCTGAACAAACTTTAACAAATGAAGAGATTAAATTAGTAACCCAAAACACATACACACACACCTCCCCCAACACACACACAACACATGCAAAGAAAAGCCTGCAAAGATGGCTTCACTATTGAATTTTACCAAACCTTTAAACAATTAATGCCAATTCTTCATAAACTCTGCTAAAAACATAGAATAGAAGAAAACACATTTCAATTGGTTGAAATTTTCTACCTTTCAACCATGTTAAGAATCCAGTATTGCCCTGTTACCAAAACCAGAGAGAAATATTACAAGAATAAAATATCACACAATAAAGTGTCTTTTATAAAAGACATTTTATTGTAAAAGACATTTTATTATAAATAAATTATAAAGAAAAAGCTGCAATTATCTCGATTCACAGATGACATGATCTTGTATATAGAAAACCCTTGAAGATCTGCTACAAAACTGTTAGGTCTAACCAAAAAGTTCATCACGTTTGTAAGATAACAAGAACAATGTACAAAAATTTATTGTATTTATATACACTTGCAATGAACAATCTAAATTGAAATTAAGAAAACAAGCCCATTTACAATAACATTTGAAAGAATAAAATACATGCAATTAAATTTAATAAAAGAAGCGCAAACCTATGTTTCGAACACTACAGCACAGTTCTAAGACCGAATAAATAAGACTGAAATAAATGGAAAATTATCCCATGTTTATGGATCAGATTTAATATTATTAAGATGGCATACTCCCCAAACTTCTTACAAAGCAAAAGCAAGTAAAATAGTGTGATACTGACACAAAAACAAACATATAGTTTAGTAAAATAAAATGGAGAGTCTGGGAATAAACTCATGTTTCTATGATCAACTTATCTTTTTGTCAATGCAGGGTGGGGTGGGAATTTTTTTCCACAAAGGACACTAGGGCAACTGCATGGCCATATGCAAAAGAATTAAGTTGGATCCTTACCTCACACCCTTTACAAATATTAGCCTAAAATGCAACAAGGACCTATATGTATCAGTGAAAACCATTTAATGTTTAGAAGAAAACATAGGGATAAACATTCATGACTTTATATTTGGCAAATATTCTTATATATGACACTAAATCACATGCAAAAAATGTTTAATTAGACTTCAGCAAAATTAAACTCATTTGTGCTTCAAAGGACACCATGAAAAAGTGAAAAAACAAACCACAGAATGGGAAAAAGCATTTACAAAACATGTATTCATCAAGAAACTTGTATTCAGAATATGTAAAGTACACTTACAATTGAATAATACGAAGACAGATAACCCAATTGTAAGTGAGCAAAGGATCTGAATAGACATTTATTTCAAGAAAGGGATACAAATGGCCAACAAGCACATTAAAAGATGTTTGACATCATTTGTCATCAGAGAAATACAAATCAAAGCATGATGAGCTATCACTTCACCTTCACTAGGATCAATAAGCCAGACAATAAAAAACATTGCAAAAAATATGGAGAAATAAGAACCCTCTTCATACAATATGGCTCAGTAATTCTGCTCCTAAGCATACATCAGAGAGAAATCAAAACATGCTCAAACAGAAATTGTACTAGAATTTTTACAACAGCATTATTTATAATATCAAAAAGGCAGAAACAACTCAAATGGCCATCAATAATGGATGGATTAATAAAATATGGGGTCTAGTAATAAAGTATTTGCCTTGGCTGATGTCCAAAAATGTTTTTCCTAGATTTTCTTCTGTAATTTTTGTAGTTTCAAGTCTTAGATTTAAGTCTTCAATCCACTTTGAGCTGATTATTGAATATGGTGAGAGACAGGGATCAAGTTTCATTCTTCTGCATATGACTATCAGATTTTCCCAGCAGCGTTTATTGAATAGGGGGTCCTTACTCTAGCGTACGTTTTCACCTGCTTGTCAAAGATCAGCTGGTTGTAGGTATTTGGCTTTATTTCTAGCTTCTCTATTTTTTTCTATTGGTC